>NC_000006.12:4908484-5060000 GCF_000001405.40 Homo sapiens
CTTTAGCTTTGCAGATTAAGCTAGCTACTTATTGAAAATACCTCCTCAGAACCCTCTCCTCCTGCCCCCCACAGGCAACCTATATCCTTGGCTCTCCAAGCTTCCAGGGTCTGTTTTTTAAGCATAAATGCTTCTACTTTTAAATAGTACTTACAAGATCATACGTCACCTCTGAGCTTACGTCTCTCTTTCCCCATTTTCTCCCCTCCATCCTGCAGAAATGGAACTTTAAATTCTGATCCAGGAGAACCAGTAGCCCACAGGCAGTCCTTTGACCTCCTGACCTGCTATGCATCCTCTGCCCTGCAGCTTCTCACATCCCCAGGTGGAAATGCTGTGCCCCTTCATCCATACCGTGGCACTTCCTCACTGGAGGTCACCTCTCCTGTGCATGGTCACATTCTGCCTGTCTGTTGAGAGGCTCCGTTCTTCGCTGCGTTCTGCTTACCTGGTTAAGCCACAAAAGGTTCTATGCTTAGACTAGACGTGGGATTTAAAAGTTTCCATGTTCGTGTACAGGAGTGTACAAAATATGCATGAGCAAGTGGTCACAGTCATAGACACACCGTGCCTTGGGGGGCCCCAGGTCATAAGATGGTGTTCTCTGTATTTCACCTGACGCCTTTGGTTTTGTTGCTCTGTGAGAATGAGGGCAGTCTTTTAAAGGAACTCATCCAGAAAGAAAGGAGAAGCAAGTGTGTTGGAGAGAAGATACATTTATCATGTCATTACTAAGCCCTGTATTAAACTTATTGTAAACACTAGGGTAATTACTGACTCCCTCCATGTGAGGAATCAGGGAAGGGCTGCTGTGTCCAGGCTTTCCGGCGTCCGTAAGTGCTACCTCCAGCTATTCAGTAGCTCCAGCCGAAAGCCATGCCCTCCCCTTTCCTGCATCCTTATTATCAGCTCTGCTGCTCACCATTGCCACCACCTTGTCCAAGCAATTGACATCAGTCTTTATTGCCTTTTTCCAATCCATTTCTCACACACCAGGAGGATTTTTTATAGATGTAAGTCATATATTACTGCCCTGCTTAAGGGTGTGTCTTCGCTTTCTGGTGTACTTGAGATAAAATTCATACTTTTTTTTGTTTGTTTTTGAGACGGAGTCTCCCTCTGTTGCCCAAGCTGGAGTGCAGTAGCACCATCTCAGCTTGCTACAAGCTCCGCCTCCCGTCTTCATGCCATTCTCCTGCCTCAGCCTCCCGATTTAGCTGGGACTACAGGCTCCCACCACCACGCCTGGCTATTTTTTTTTTTTTATTTTTAGTAGAGATGGGGTTTCACCGTGTTAGCCAGGATGATCTCGATCTCCTGATCTTGTGATCTGCCTTCTCGGCCTCCCAAAGTGCTGGGATTACAGGCATGAGCCACCGCACCTGGCCAAATTTCATACTTCTTACTGTGGCCTACAGGACCCTTTGGGGCTGGCCTTTCATTGCTTACTGGGCTTCCAATATGCTAGGCTCCCTCCACTTTCTGGAATTGGCCAATTTCTTTCCTCCTGTTTTGCACATGTATTCATATATATACATATACACACATACCTTTTTTTTTTTTAATCTGGTTGACCTCTTATCCTTCTGGCCTCAGCACAGACGGCACTTCCTGGGAGAAGACTCCCCGATTTTC
Source organism: Homo sapiens (assembly GCF_000001405.40). NCBI lineage: Eukaryota > Metazoa > Chordata > Mammalia > Primates > Hominidae > Homo > Homo sapiens. The sequence continues at coordinate 4,910,120 of NC_000006.12, forward strand.
CCCCTCCATCTAAAACATAGCGCTCAGCCACAGTTCTAGTTGCATGCTTAATGTGTTGGTTTCTTTACCTAAGCTAAGCTGCGGGAAGTTAGGCAGCACATATGTTTATTTACTCAGTCTCACGGCATTAGCACCTGGAACAACACCAGGCAGTGCTCACTTGCTCAGGTTTGTTAAACAGTGACTCTGATTTTTGTGTCTTTGTCTTGTTGCCAGATTAAGTTCTTGTCTGTGGTTTTATGGCCAGAAGAGGCACACATAAATGAATGAGTACTCTGCCTTTAACTCCCTTCATACTTTCTGCTCTTTTCCTTCTGTCCAATTTATTAAGCACACTGCATACTATGTGCCATGTCATGAGGTTCACTGGGTGACCCCCATGGGACCATGTGACTGATTTGTCCTCTGAAAGCCAGTGCTTGCTGGGCTGGGGAGAAGCCAGTTGCACAAAAGGTTATAACATAAGGCAACAGGTAAGTGCTCTCAGCTGAGCAACTTAAGAGACTGTGTTCAAAGGCTCAAGGAGCGAGCATGTCTGGTTGAGGTCTGCAGAAACTATGAAGAGGGAAAAGGTGTCTCCGTGGGCCTGGAAGGATTAGTCGGGTTTTTATAAAGCAGCAGTGTTGGAAGCGATGGTTTGGATAGAAGGCATGAAGTGGGTAGTGGAGTGTTTCTGATGGTTTATACACCTCTAGACCTTACCTGAGAAAGGATTTTTTTTTTTTTTTCCCCAAGACGGAGTCTCTCTCTGTCGCCCAGGCTGGAGTGCAGTGGCACGACCTCGGCTCACTGCAAGCTCCACCTCCCAGGTTCACGCCATTCTCCTGCCTCAGCCTCCCGAGTAGCTGGGACTACAGGCGCCTGCCACCACGCCCGGCTAATCTTTTTTTTGTATTTTTTAGTAGAGACGGGGTTTCACCGTGGTCTCGATCTCTTGACCTCGTGATCCACCCGCCTTGGCCTCCCAAAGTGCTGGGATTACAGGCGTGAGCCACTGCGCCCAGCCGAAAAAGGATTTTTAAGGCAGTTGACAGTTTGGAAATACAGGGATATAGTGTTCTGTTTTTAAATCCAAGCGAAGATGTCATGACAAACTGAAATGAAAACATATTAAAGCCAGGGTTATGGTTAGTCCAGTCCAGGGTATGCATGCCGTGGCATTGGTGACTGCAGGTGGGCTGCAGATTTGGCTTTCAGCTGTCTGGTGGCATGTGATAAGAGTGTGCTGATGAGTCAGATCCACAGTGCTCTCACACATACATGCGCACAGTAGTTGCTCCGTAGAAGTATAACTGTGCACGGTAATGAGACTTGAAAAACAGTTTTGCCCTAGGTCATTAGGAAAGTTTTTCCTGGTTTAGTGAACAAAATGTGTCCGCACCACTTTCTTCACAATTGATACAGTATTCATGGTACTGTTTGCTAAAGGGGGTCCTTGGTTTGTAGCCAGAGGCACAAACCACTTTTGGTATTGGTTCTAGGGATAGCTAAAAGCCTCAGAGTTCATGTCATAGAGCATGGTGTTTCTAACCCCCGCCCCTTAGCTTTAAATAAAATATTAGAAAAGAATCTATAATTTTCAAAATTATTTAACTTTAAATAACTTCCTAGGTTAGTTTTAAACCTTTAGGGGTTACAGGACATCCACTTTCAAATTTCACCTTCCAGTAAGTAAAAACATGACTTACAAATACAGAATCCATTCATGTCAAGTATTCATTTAACTCAGCGAAGGAATCAAAAAGATAGTAAAGTTGAGTCAAAGAAAATGCAGGAGACCATGTGTAGGCACTGAAACAACGCTGGGATAGTTTCAGAGAAAGAGACAAAACCGGTTAACGGCCTGCAGGGCAGCCATACTAACCTTTGCTGTTGTCTTTTCTCCTGAGCAGGTGTCATTTCAATCTCTAAGCAATGCCATTGATTTATATCACTCTCAGTTTTCTAAAATTGACATCCATATGGAGCTGTAAAATACTCTAAACAGCGCTAAACAGTCAAATGAAGGTACATGGCCATAAAGAACGAGATGATCCCTGGTGGGAGTGGCTCCCAGTGCCCCAGCATGATGTTGAAAAGATACGTGGTCCTTTCACCTGTTTCCAAGTTGGGAATTTTTTTTTTTCCTGACCATTAGGAAAAATGTTGACGTTGGTTTTGGTGAATCTGATTTGACCCATTCTTCCTGGGAGTAATAGGATAACACGGCCGCTTCTCATTTGTGTAGACAACCCCAGCTCATCATCATCTGCACGTGGCCTGGAGGGTCACTGTTCCCTGCAGTGGCTCCTTGGGAGAGGAGTAGCACCCTGTTCATCAAAAGCAGGTAGCAAGGCGCACTTACAGTTGCTGACTGGCAGGGGCGGAACGCCGTAGGGCTTTGTAGCCAGGGTAAGAAGTTTGGGTTTTTTTCAGATGGTGAAGGGATTGAAGTGGAAACATGATGTGTGCTGATTGACATTTGACATTTGATTGTCTTCTCAGTCCATTTTCAGATATTTGTGAGAGAATATCTGAAACTACGTAATTTACAAAGAAAAGGAATTTTTCTTTCTTGAAGTGATAGATGCTGAGGAGTCCAGGATCAAGGGGCCCCCTCTGGTGGAGCCTCTTTGCTGGTGAGGACTCTGCTGAGTTCCCAGGCATCACATGGCGAGGGGGCAGAGCCTGCTTATGTGCCAGCTCAGCTCACTCTCCCCCTCTTCTTATGAAGCCACCAGTCGCACTCCCGTGATAACCCATTCATGAGGGCAGAGCCCCCATGACCCAATTGCCTCTTAAAGGCCCCTCGTCTCAATACTGCCACACTGGGGGTTACATTTCAGGATGTGTCTTGGAAGGGATAAATGTTCAAACCATAGCAGCTGCTGACTGCTCTGAGGAGAGTGACTTGCCGGTGAGGTGGACTAGCAGAAGTCATCAGAGCCTTTCTCAGAGTCCAGGCCAGGCTGTTAATGCTGGTGGCTTGCAGATGTAGACCAGCATTACTAAACTCTTAAAAGTTTGTTTCCCTGGGATCAAAGCTAACTTGGCAGAGACCTTATTGTGTCTTCAGAATTTTCTTCCCAGTGCTCGAAATTCGAGCCAAGGAACGAAAATCTCTTGAATGAGGGTAATTTTATTAACACTCTTCCTTATTATTTAATTAAAATTTTTTTATTTCAGGGGTGGTTTTAAGTGCCATCTTTTAAAGCATTACATCGGTAATTTGCTAATCTGAGCTTCTCTCCTCTCCACAGCATGAGGCCCTGATACATTTAGGGCCTCTGTTAAAAAGCAAAAAGTGTGTGGCAGTGGCAATAGAATCACCAAAGCTAAAATCATAGAGAATGGTGGCTCGTAGTGTTTTAAAACTGTTTGAAAAGTGATTATAGGATTGGGGAAAAGTTGATACTTCCATCTTTAAGCAGATAACAGAAAGCCTGGTTGCATGACTGGCAAACAATTTTAGATTTAAAAACAACAGCCCTTGGCTTTAAAATACTTCCACCTTCTTCCGGCCTTCCAGGGAACTCTCTATACTTCCTTACTAGGAGGGTTATACTGGACAAAAGAGGACCGTCTAGTCTAGGGATCAGCACGCTTTTCCTTTAAAGAGCCATTTAGTAGATATTTTACACTTTGAGGCCAGACGGTCTCTACTACTACTTAACTCCACTATTGTAGCCTGAAAGCAGCCAAAGACAACAGGTAAACAAATGAACGTGGCTTACAAAACTTTATTCACAAAAACAGGAAGCAGCCCAGATTTGGCCAGGAGCCCTTGTTGGCGGAGCCCGGGTCTAGCCTGTTGGCCACCCAAGTTCTTACCTGTCTCCTCCTAACCTTCTCACCTTGGGAAACATAATTTATTACCATGTATGCCTGAGTCATAGAGGACTGACTGCTCTCTCTATGGTTTCTCCTCTCCTAGGAGTGGACTATTGTTGATTTTTACTTGGTTCTTGCTAGGCTGGGATAGGGGCTGCAGTGGAGGGTGGGAACAGGGTAATCTTTGGTTGTTCTGGTCTTAGGCCCTGTGTGTCTCACCTGTGGGGGTGAAGTGTTTCATGATTTTTTTCTTCTGCTCAAGGAGTGAAAGAGTTCTTTTTTTTTTTTTTTTCCACACTCTCCTTCCTTTGGCACTAGTAGATCAACAGGGTTTGCTGCCCTTCCCCCAGAGGCCAGAGAGAGGGCAGGGCAGGAGAGTACGGCTCCGTGCTTTTCTCATGGGGGTGGCACGTCCTCTCCTCTGTGCCTGAAAGCCTGCTTCACCTCCACACTTTCTCATTAGCGAACTGCTACGCTGTCGTGCCAGTCCACACGCAGCCTCTTGCAGGTCTTTAGAAGCTCAGCTGAGTTTCTTACTATTATCTGTCTCTTGTGTTCTGCCGCAGTTGAGACAGTCCACATGGCCCCAGCTTTCCTTGCAGCGGCTCATCTTTCCTCAGATTGCAGGCTGTGTGGCTGCCTTGCAACCTCAGCCATCCTGCAAGTTCAAGAACAGTTGTAATTGATAGTTTATCCAGCTGTAACCAGCGTTTTAGCTGTGCACGGGCCTATTCTTCATTCTGAGCTATTAAGCTGGTTTTCATTTGACTTTGGTTTGCATAGAACACAGGGTTTGCAGAATGGGTTTGTGACTGGGGTGGGTTGTGACATGGTTTCTTAGAACGGGGCCCACACATGGCCCACGCATAGAGGTGTTTCAGTACAGCAGTAACAGCCCGGCACGGTACCACAGTGTTCACAGTTGTGGGAACAGGGTGAAGAGTAGACTGTCCTCCAGCTGGGAGAGTAGGCAGGGATGAGTCGGTGCAAGTGGACGAGTCCAGGACAGAGCTGGCTTCTGAGCCTAGGAGGTCGGGCACGTATCCTTGCCTTTATTCACTGTGCCCTGCCTGTGGTTTGCATGTGAGAACACACATCTCTGTCTTGTGTGCTGGGGCTGGCCCAACCTCGTAGATCATGTTTAACTCTGTGTTGTTAGGCATAACCACAGTCTACTTTAATGACAGCAGATGCCCCACTGTTTAGTCACACTGCAAAGAGCATCCTTTCGATCACCTCCCAGTGGAAATCCATGATGATGAATAAATTCCTAGATTCGGATTTGTCAAAGATTTGTTTTGTTTTGTTTAATATTTTTGATACAAGTTGTCAAACCATCTTCCAAAACACATTTTACCACTCTGCTCTCTAGCCAGTGAACACATTTTGCTTGGCCCTGATATTAGGGTTGTTTTGGGTGTTTGATAAACTTATGTGTTTTGACATTAGAATTGTAAACCAAAAATAGCATTCTAAGCCCTGCAGCTTGGAATGTGAACTGCCTCTTGGCCAAGGGGACCCTAAAGAAACCTACATAACTAGTTCAGGCCATAATGTGGGGGATGGGGGCAGACACACCTCATTATACCCTTACCGCTTTGGAGTTTAGACACAACTGACTAGCATTAACATTAAAAGAGAAATCCTAATACTGACAGAACAGACTCTGTAGCAACCAGATACCAACTTCCAACCTGAGTCAGGTAGAGCATCACATGACAGATAATAGGTGCCCTGAAGGAAGCCAAAGTATTTTATCCCAAAATATAACTTGACATATTCTGCAATGCCCCTGTAAAGCTCTCTTGTGGGGGAAATTTTCATTCTGTAGAGAATCTCCTTCCCTTACCAGGTCTTTTCCAGAGAGGCTGACACCTTTTCAGCTCTGATAAGAGACAGTCACCCTATATATGAAGCCTGCTACCTGGAGACTTCGTCTGTACGGCAAGAAGCTTGGCTTCCACACCTCCATATCTAAACTCAAGCATTTCTTTATTCTGGATTCACCTCTTCAGATAGGGCTTACTCTTGCAACCAATTGCCAGTTAGGAAATCTTTGGATCCACCCATGACCTGGAAGCCTCCCCACCCCGCCACCCCATCCTGCCTTCCTAGGCCAAACCAATGTATACCTTACATGTATTGATTTATGTCTTTGCCCATAACTTCTGTATTCCTAAAATGTCTAAAGCCAAACTGTAACCCAGCCACCTTGGCACATGTTCTCAGGATTTCCTGAGGCTATGTCAGGGCCATGATCCTTAACCTCGGTAAAATACACCTCTAAATGGATTGAGACTTGTCTCAGATACTTTCTAGTCTACAGAATGATTAACTTGATTGCTTTAAACCTTCAGGTTTGGAGTGGCCATCTTTTTTACAAACTGCATACCTCTAGCCTTCTCTTAGGAGATGACGCTACATGCCAAATGTTTTAAATTTCAAGGATAGTCTTTATATAAAATCTATGTACTTGTGGATAATTTCCTCAAAGAACTCATGAGATGAGAAACTCTCGACTGAAGAGAACTAAAAATAAAGACTGAGTGAATGTCACAACCACTGAGAACAGGTTTTGAAAAGTTCACTGTGAGGTAAATGAAGACCCTGTTCTCATGGTCTGAAAATTAATTGAAAGGCCAACAGAATGACGCCTGGAAGGGTGACCAGATGTATCGGGGGGGGGCGGGCAGTTTCTGTCCCCTGGCCTGCCTCCCCCTCTTTCAGTGATGCTGACCATTCACCTTTATCTGAGTGGTTCATTCCAGCCAAGCAGCTGAGCCTGTGAGGACAGAGGCATCTCTCCATTCTCTCAACAGCCTGTTTCTCTCTAAAATAAAATCACATATTTCCATTTTCTTATGATGCTTCCTAATTCCAAGGAGGTGTAGTGTGTAGTGATCCCCTCATGCTGGGCAGGTACCCCGGATGGAGGCCTGGCCACGTGCACGGCCCACTGCCACACCTCCACCTCTGACAGGTGGGCCCTGAGGCTGATGGGGAGTCCAGAGCACCCTGCCCACCAGAGAACTTCAGCTTTGATCCGTTTTGTTTTTGAGGTTCCAAGTAAGATTTTTCTTTAGGAAGGAAAAAATAGCTCTGTATACAGGGGCAATGCTAGGAAAACTGTTGCTTTTCTGTACTTTGTGGATTCTACTGAGTTTGTAACCTGCCCTGTCTTATCAAATCGTTTGCTTTCATGGTTATTCCTTCCTTATGGTTTTGGGGTGGTTGAGTGTCTATGTGTGTGTTGGCTTGTTTTCTTTTAAAGAACCTCATGGAGAAATTTATCTTAGATCTTAGAAGTACCAGATTGTCTTTTGAAGTCATAGGTTTGTTTTTGTCTTAGAATCTTCGTTTTAATGGCGTTTCCATCCTTGCTTTGGCCTCTAGAAACACCAGAACTGAGTATGTGGCTTGCTTTTAGGAGCTAACCACAAGACTGACTGTTTCTGTGTGGTGGTTCTGCCGCTAGCTTCTTGTTGGGGTTTGTTAGACTTTGAGTAGCTTTGCCTTTGTAGTTTTAAGGGAGGTCTATAATGTATACTAATACTAATACATTGTAACCAAGCATAGAGCCTCATTATGATAGCAGTTGAGACACAGTTAAAATTAATGTAAATGTTACTCAAGTTTAAACTGTTTCTCTAATCTCCGATTTACAGATGAAGTGGGGGGCAGAAGTCAGAAGTTAATTGTCCTTTGGTGTAGTCTGCTGTTAGAATACTGAGAAATTGATAGAAATGGCAGCACTGAGGAAGGATTAAAAGTATAGATGGCAAGTTTTCATTCTTAGGCTGTTGCTGTTGGCATTGCAGGGAGAAGGTTGAAGTAGACATGATGATGAATATCAGCAAACACCTTGAACCCCTCCTTACTCTGGGTAATTACAGATGTACTTCCAAATGAGGTGTCTGAAGTTCTGCCCTCTGTGAGGTGAACTAGGGGTGGAAAATTAGCACTTGAACGTCTTAGCTTAGAACACATTGGATGCAATAACTATAGGTTGTGAGCTAATTTTCTTTGAAGTAGATGTTTGCCTGTAGCTACTATTCATGTATCTACCCAAGATAGTATCTTCCTTTAATATCTAGGTTTTGAAATTAACGGCCACACACTGTTAATGAAATAGAGAAATTAGATTGTAATTGATCAGTTGTCTTATGAAAACAATAGTTGCAAAAGCCAGTTGGTTCTGAGAGTCAGGATAAACATGAAGAAAAGTATTGATCATTCAATCCCATGTCAAAGTAGAATCATTTCTGCAGGAAATGTAGTTTTTGAAGATGTGATCAATAATAAGATCCCACTGCTGGAGAATTATACCATGTCGATAGCTATGGTTATTTTTGTATTTTCATTTGTCCTTTTTAATTGTTGTTGTTATTGTTAATTCTGCCTTATTCTCTGCACTGAAAAGAAAGGTTGGGTGATGTTCTGCCCCCCCCCCTTTTTTTTGGCACTTTGAGGTGACATTATAACATAAAGGTTGTTGCTTTTTTCTCTCCAATATTTGATGTATTTTCAAAGGCTTTAAAAAGGAAATAACTAAATTTAAAGTACCACCTGTCTTGTTTAATTTGCTTTAGGAATTTATCCCTATATGCTTAGTTAGAATGATAGGATTGATATTGCGTAGTAATTTCTGATGTTTTTGTTTTAGTTTGTCAAAAGTAAAACTAAATAGCATGAATTTGCGTCTGTAATTAAAGATTGACCGCGCTTGAATAAAGTTTTCCATTAACTTCTTCAAATAATGGAGTTCACTTTTAAGGATTTCCCTTTCCTCAGTGTTTTTAACTTTGATTCTAAAATGCTGGTTGTAGGGATCGCTTTGAAACTGCTTTATCTCTGTGTATGTTTTGAAGAACTGAGTAAGGATGAACACTTCGATTTCCTTTGGGTTACTAAAGACTTTGCTGCTTTTCTGATTTAGGAGTCCAAATCCCCTTAAGGATTAATGCTCTCAGAGGAGCTCAGCACAACTCAAAATGAAGATTAAAATTGACACAGGATTCTTCTACACATAGTAATCTATAAGTATGGGCCTTTATACTACAGAACCTTCAGACGTGGGCAAAGACACTTGACTGTCTCTAGTTGAAACCTGCGCTAACTGTATAGTTTTGCATAGTTTATGGTGATATTGCTAATTAGAGTGTTTTGTTCCAGAAGACCGGAACAAAACAAGTTCAAGTTCTTTTCGTTATCCTACTGTCAGTCATTCAGCAAAATGAGTGTCTTTAAGAGTGAGGCTCCTGCACAGAACCAGAGGCACAAGCTTGATGAGGCCTGGATCCTACACTGGGTACATGTGTGGCCTGTGTGTATACATTAAAACTGCAAGGCTGGCTGGCATACAGCAGTTCCAGGATATAAAAAAAAAAAGAAGTAAGAGTTTGTGAAGGTATTGTCTCTAAGCTAAGATAGCCTCAAAATTGGCTAGAGATTCTTGCACAATTTATCATTGATAATACAGGTTAAATAACCCTGTCTGAAATGCTTGGGACCAGAAGTGTTTCAGATTTCACATTTGTCAGATTTTGGAATATTTGCATTATACTTACCAGTTGAGCATCTCAAATCAGAAATCCACGATGAGCATTTCCGTTGAGTGTTACATTGGTGAAAAGTTTCAGCTTTTGGAGCATTATTCAAAAAAATTCTTCGAGTTTTCAGGTTAGAGTTACTAACCTCTCTCCAACATGTAAAGGATTTTACCTCCTTGTATCCCTGTTTCTCCATCCCAGGAGAACTAAAGTGAAGACATTTAACAAGGAAATAGAAGTAATCACAGTCCATGATTTTAATCTTTTCCAATAGTTTTATTATAATTACTAATTAAACACATTCTAGATAATTTAGGAAACTATTAAATATAGCTTCAAAAAATTAAAATGACCACATGATGCAGCGGTTCTATTTCTAGGTATATACCCAAAGAATTGAAAGCCGGGTGGTGAAGAAATCTTTGTACCCCTATGTTAACATCATCAATAGCTAAAAGGTGGAAGCAACCCAAGTGTCTATCATCAGCTGAATAAATAGACAAAATGTGGCCTATCCGCAGAATGGAATATGAATCAGCCTTAAAAAGCATGGAGATTCTCACACATGCTGCAATATGGATGAACCTTGCGGACATGGTGCTCGGTGACATAAGGCCATCTAAAAAGGATAAATAACTAAACAGTTCCACTTACAAGAGGTACCTAGAGTAAACGAGAGTGGTGCTTTACCAGGGCTTGGGGCGTGGGAGTGGAAAGTTGGTATTTAGTTGGAGTCTGGGGAGACGAAAAGTTCTGGAGATGCATGGTGGTGATGGTTGCACAATAGCGTGAATGTGCTTAATGCCATCAAACTGCACACTTAAAAGTGGTAAATTGTATGCTCTGTGCCTTGTGTCACAATAAAAAATGCTCTAGATTCCATTTGCTAATATGTAGGACTTGTGAAAAATATGCATATACAATATATATTATGGCACCACTGGACTATAATTATTTAAAGACAAAGTCCATAGGTGTCCCCAGTGAGACGGGACTCTGCTGCCAAGCCTCCGGCGGGTCATGCAAACAGTGGAGGGCGCCGTTCCTGGAACAGCAGTGCCCCAGCAGCTTTAAGCAGTAGGAGGGATAAAAGCAGGAGTGGTTAAAGTGAAATGGCAGAGCTCATTAATCAAATTCGTTCAGTTTTATTGATTGATTGAGATGGAGTCTCGCTCTGTCGCCCAGGCTGGAGTGTACTGGTGTGATCTCGGCTCACTGCAACCTCTGCCTCCCAGGTTCAAGTGATTCTCCTGCCTCCGCCTCTGGAGGTGGGATTACAGTCACGCGCCACCACATGCAGCTAATTTTTGCATTTTTAGCAGAGACGGGATTTCATCATGTTGGCCAGACTGGTCTCAGACTCCTGACCTCAAGTGATCCACCCATCTCGGCCTCCTAAAGTGCTGGGATTAGAGGCGTCAGCCACTGCACCCAGCCAAATTTGTTCAGTTTTAAATTGCATGTGTGTGTTTGTATGTATGTGTGGCTTCTCAGTAACTGCACCAGCATGATACATCTGTGTGTGTGTGTGTGTGTATGTGTGGCTTCTTAGTAATTCCATCAGCATGATACATCCCTGAGCCATTCCTCTGGAAAATGGTGGTCTTCAATCCAGCTGTAGGCATGGCAAGAAGGGAAGGTCAGTTTCAGCTTCAGGGTAGGTGGGTAGATAGATAAATAGGACAGAGATGGGTGTGTTTTAAGCACAGGGCAGGAAGCACCAACATAGGTGCCTAGTGCGTCACTTTCCACATTTTCCCTCCACAGGACATGGAATACTAGTGACTAAGCCTCGTTTTCTCTCTCTGCCCAAGTAACTGAAGCTCACCACATGGTGGCCCAGCACCGGCCTTCTCCCCATTTGTGAAAACCAGTCCACTTGCCCTTCCCGTAGGTTGATGCCAGAAGTAACAAGAGGACTCTAGTTCGAAGTCCTTAACATTTAATAAACAAGAAGACATATTGGGGAGTTACAACAGCTCTTGATCTTTTTATGTTTTATTTTTTCTCCTTAAGCTGGCTCGGAACACATTTTCTGAGCCCTGGAAGATCTTTCTCAGCCCCCACTTCCTAGGCTCAGCTTTTTGTTATTCCTCGTAGGTGGGTGAGCTGTAGACTTCCTTGTGCCCTTTCCAATGCCTCCACCTTTGTGTCATATGCTTTTTAACTTGGTATTTAACCCTTCAAAGGCTGGCTGCAGTCTGTTTGTTTCCATCCTGGCTTTTCATGGTAAACCTTCATCATCCCCTGAGTATGTAGTGTATTTGGCCACCTCCGTTTCTTTGCTAATGGCATAGTACCTCGACATGCCATATACTTTTTTTTTTTAACCAATTACATTCAAAAAATACTTATTGAGCACCAACTGCATGCAAAGCACTTGAGAGTCAGTTAGAATCCCAACTCCATAAAGTCTTCACCAGCATTCCCTGGGAATATTCCTAACCTCCGTGGAGAGGTTTCTTGTCAGTAACCACTCATTTTTCCACCACTTTTCTTTTGCTAGTTCGTTTTTCACGTAGGTACCGTTCCTGCCTCTGTGGTGGCAGCTGGGTATGACGGAGGCTGCATTTGTGCAGCCTCATGGGCCTGAATTTGGTATGAGCTTAGCACCCCTCACCTGCTCAGTGACCTTGGGCAGGCGAGGTGGTTAGGCATCCTGGACCTGAAGTTTTCATCTTCAGGGGATTATGGCTTGGGGGTTGGGTGAGACACCTGGTACTGCCCGGCCAGCAGTGATGGGTCCACAGATGCTGGTTGCCGACCCGTTGCCTCAGTATCTGTGTCTCTGACCTCCTGTGACCACCTTGCTCTGAAAAGCCAGTATGATCGTTCACTGGGATTTCCCCTCTTGCTTTTGGTGAAGAATAAAACAAAGTTGGAAAGAGTTATCAATGCATGGGCAATGAATCCTGAGGACAGATGATTAATTAATATGTGAACATTTTTATCTTCCTGAATGATATTGTTAAAAAAGTATAAATACAAGCAGTACAAGAACCAGCAGTTAAAGTGTGTCTACATTGGAGACCATTTCACTGTGAATGGGTGAGCGTGTTTCCTTGGGTGCAGCTTTAACGAGCAGCACGGCGTAATCCAGGTGGTGCCCACCAGTACGTGCTTCAGAGCTCCCTGCTGGTTGCCAGATCCTGAGCCGCCTGCTTCCCCTTTTATCATTGTTATTTATCTGTGTTAATTACCTGGACTTGAACAGTCCTTCCTCTGATTTATGGGAATTGTTACTGCTGCTGCAATCTCAGTGTTCTGATCTGAACCATTTCCTTTGAGTTACCCTGAATATCCTGTTTTGGGCCTCGAATGTGCAACATCAGCAATGGACACCAAACACACCGACCTGCAGCGGGTGCCCAGCCTCGGGGTGCGTCTGATCACACACCACGGGGCCTGAGCTCCACCCAGAGTCCTCGGGTGCCTGCAAGTGTGGCCCAGGGAGCTTTTTTCCCCCCTTTTATTTTTTACTATTTTTACTCAACACTTATGTACATATTACAATTATTATGTACAATATAATTTGATATATATGTGCAATATGTAATGACCAAATCCATCACTTCAGACATTTATCATTTCTTTATTTTGGTAACATTTAAAATCTGCTCTATTTGAAAATATACAATAAATTATTGCTAATTTTAGTCACTCTGCAGTGCCATACGACACTCAGAACTTATTCCTCCGGTCTAGCTTTAATTTTATATCTGTTAACTGACCTTTGACTCTTCTCCCCCCACCCACTACTTCCCAGCCTCTAGTAACCACTGTTTTACTCCCTGTGAGGTCAACTTTTTAGCTTCCACATGTGAGTGAGATCATGCAGTATTTGTCTTAATGTGCCTGGCTTCGTTCACTTAGCATGATGTCCTCCAGGTTCACCCATGTTGACCCAAATAACAGGATTTCACTCTTTTTTTAAGGCTGAATAATACTCCATTGTGTGTATATACCAACATTTTCTTTATCCATTCATTTGTTGATGGGCACTTAGGTTGGTTTCATATCTTGGCTATTGTGAATACTGCTGCAATAAACATGGGAGTGCAGATGCCTCTTTGACGTGCTGATTTCATTTTCTTTGGATAAATATCTAGTCAAGTGATTGCCGGATCATATGGTAGATTTATTTTTGAAGAAACCTGCATACTCTTTTCCATAATGACTGTACTAATTTACATTCCTACTGACAGTGGATAAGAAAGAGTTCCTCTTCTAACCCGGTGAAACCCCGTCTCTACTAAAAAATATTTAAAAAAAATTAGCCAGGCATGGTGGCGGGCGCCTGTAGTCCCAGCTACTCGGGAGGCTGAAGCAGGAGAATGGCGTGAACCCGGGAGGCGGAGCTTGCAGTGAGCCGAGGTCGCGCCACTGCACTCCAGCCTGGGTGACAGAGTGAGACTCCGTCTCAAAAAAAAAAAAAAAAATCAAAAAAAAAAAAGAGTTCCCCTTTCTCCAAGGAGCATTTTTTAGAAGTCCCCTGGCAATCCCGTTGCAGAGTCAGGGTGAGAACCCCTGCTGTCATGTGGCACATTGCACTTGCCACATCTAATACAACATTATTGTGTGTCTCTAGGTTCACAATTCTGTGGTTTAATCAGGCTAGTCTTATTTAGTCTTAGGAAAATATAATTAATTATCTAGAGTTGATTTAAAGGTACATTATCTCATTAATTGGTACTTTTATCTCAAAATAGTTATTTTTCTTTTTAAAGTCCCCTCACTGCTTTTGGCACTTAATTTTTTGGAGTTGATTCTCTGTGAAAAGTTAGCTATGAAACAGAATCATTTTAATTGCAGGAACCTTAGCTTACGTTCTTCTCTCTGTTGATTTTCAGAATGCTCCCTAAGCCTGTGGAGTCTCAGGTATTTAATGTTCTCATTTCGTGGTTTGCCGTTCACCTGCCCTTCTTTATATTTCTAGCATTCTCAAGTTATTTAGCAGTTTCCAGGAATTATTTGTATGTTTCATGGACTAAAATGCCTTTTACACCTCCTCTGTTCTCAGGTTTTTCTTTTGCTTTTAAAGTGAGTTTAAAGCATTCTCTGAATGTGGTCTTTGGTAGTAAGCATTTCCATCCTCACTCCCCATTGAGCTCTTGCTGGTTGGTTTTTATGACATCTTGAAGCATATCATTAAGTTGGATGGTTTTATTTTTAGGGCCAGGTCTAAAACATGGCTGTGAATAAATTTTTTCTCGAGTCAACCAAAAAATGAACGACTTCGATACTGAGCAGTTGAAAGAAAACTTACAGTGAGTTCTGCTATAATGTGATATATGTGATCCTAAAAATCGCCACACTGCAAAATCATGCAATAAAAGCTACAGGGCTTATGGGGGAAATGAGATTAGAGGTACAGCCCACAAAGACTTTGTCATGGACACATTAACCTAATAGAAACAGTAGCACAATTTCAAGTGTCAAATAGTTAAGAAAAGCAAGTACTACAATAAATACGATACATTATCTTGAAAAAGGACAGCAGAAATTTGCCTGTAGAAGTGGGCCTTGGAAGGGTTGCAGCATGTGGCTACTGCGAAGCAATAGAAGGACTGCAATCTGAAACCATGCAGAAAGTTGTAATACCTGATGTGGGTGGGTGGCTGTTTGAGTGTGTTTTGTGTGTGTTTTGTGTATTCCTGCCTAGCCAGTTTCAGCTGGGTGCGGTTGTGCATTCACTGACTTTCTCCAGACAATTGTGCATAAATGTGTGACATTCGCAGTATACTCAGATCGTTCCTAATGTGTCACTTGTTTTTACAACAAAACATGATTGAAGTCCTGATGGTATATCAATGTCTTTCTTAGAGATGGCTAAGAATGAGCACATTTAGTGAACTATATATTGAATGGTTTATACCAGCTTGTATAGATTTGTTATGCGTCTGTCCTCATTACAGGAGCTATTCTTTTTTCTTTTTTTTTTTTTTTTTTTTGAGACAGAATCTCACTCTGTCGCCCAGGCTGGAGTGCAGTGGCACGATCTCGGCTCACTGCAAGCTCCGCCTCCCAGGTTCACTCATGCCATTCTCCTGCCTCAGCCTCCCGAGTAGCTGGGACTACAGGCACCCGCCACCACACTCGGCTAATTTTTTTGTATTTTTAGTAGAGGCGGGGTTTCACCGTGTCAGCCAGGATGGTCTCGATCTCCTGCCCTCGTGATCCGCCCACCTCGGCCTCCTAAAGTGCTGGGAACAGGGTGAAGAGTAGACTGTCCTCCAGCTGGGAGAGTAGGCATGGATGAGTAGGTGAGAGTGGACGAGTCCAGGACAGAGCCAGCTTCTGAGCCTAGGAGGTCGGGCGCATATCCTTGCTTTTGTTCACTGTGCCCTGCCTGTGGTTTGCATGTGAGAACACACATCTCTGTGAATAAGAATAGCCCGGCAGGAGCTATTCTTAGACTGATTCTAGCTCATCGTTTTCCCCTGTACTAGAACTATGCGCTTCATGTAGATTTATAACATACAACTAGTTAGGTAGATTTCATTCATTATTCTTTTCAAAAATGTCTTAGCCTATCTCCCTGCTAAATCCTAACCACCGAGTTTTTTATTGGAAGTCTACTAGAATTAGACTAGCCTTTAACTCGGAGACCCCTATGGATAGAGAACTGGAAGTGAAGGAGTTAGAGCAAAGACACTTTTACAATTATTTGTAAAGGATTTATTTAACACATTATGAAGAAAAGAGGTATTGATGTTTAAAGCCTGCATTTACTTCCATGTTCATATGAAACATGGTTCTTCAAGAAAATTTGCAGATTATGTAATCTGAATAAAATTATAAGGTTTTGTATAGGTGAATAGGATTACGTTCAATATATGTAAATAACAATATTTTGAAATATTAAACTCCATAAACGGAGAGCTATTAATTCTGTAGATGCTATAGTCCTTGCTTTTTAACTTCAGACCAAAGACAACAGTGGTCATTAATATCCAAGATGGTTAAAAACAGTTTTTGAACTCTTTTTGCAGTTGAGACCCTTCTGCCTTGAAAACATTAAAACTTGCTAACTCTTGATTAGACAATTCTAAACTAAAATATAATCGGAGAAATACCAGTTAATCTTTAGCTAGTGAAGAATAATATCCCAGACATTTTTGTCTGGATTTTGGATGCTGTAGTGTAGTTTCAAGTGGTTTCTTGATTATGTCAAATATATTGTAAAAATTCACAAAATAGCAAGAGGATAAGAATTATTCTATGTCTCTCTCACCAATAAAGAGCCAATATTAACATTTCTATAATTTACATTCCTAATAAACTCACATGGAAACATTGTTGATATCTGTCTGTCCACATACCCCTTCTGTTATCTTTCATTTTTATTTTTTTCATGTATGATTTTGGGGATGGGCAGTGGAAGGACACAAGCGTGGGAATCAGATCTGCAGGTACCACACACCTTTCAGGTGTGCTGCAGGGATTTGAATCCGATTTTATGCTTAGGAGCTCAGCATGTGTAAGGTGTGATGCAAATGGCAGCTGCTGTGATGCACTTATTGACCCGTATTTTTAAAAATCTTCAGAAGCATAATAGCTATATAATATCGTGTCAGGTGCACGTGTGCCATAATTAATTTCACTGTTTCCTTACTACTAGGCATGAAGTTTAGGGCTTTTGGCAATTTTTCCATTTTAAAAGTAAAGCTGTTTGAATACCTTTTGTGTGTAAAAACATATCCTCATGTACTTTCTGTTTTAGGAGTAAAATTCTAAAGGTAGAATTATAAGGGCAGGGGTTGATTGCCACATCTTACAAAATTGCTTTCTAGGAATGTACCGATTTATGTATATGTGCCCTTCGCTAGCCCTAAATTGCCATATTTTAAAGTTTTCTAATCTGAAGGTAGAAAGAACGTCTTTTTTTTTTAACTCAGATCAATTTTTTATGTTTTAGTGTTTTCATTCCATCATTCGAATTTACTGTACGTGTGTGTGTGTGTGTGTGTGTGTGTGTGTGTCTTTTGAGACGGAGTCTCACTCTGTTGCCCAAGCTGGAGTGCAGTGGTGTGATCTCAGCTCACTGCTGCCTCAGCCTCCTGAGTAGCTGGGACTACAGGCATGCGCCACCACACCCGACTAATTTTTGCATTTTTAGTAGAAACAGGGTTTCACCATGTTGACCAGGCTAGTCTCAAACTCCTGACCTGAAGTGATCCACCTGCCTTGGCCTCCTACAGTGGTGGGATTGATTCCAGGCGTGAGCCAACACACCCAACATTGTGTGTGTGTTTTTACATCTGTTTTATGCTTTGCAGTTATTAGTGTTTTAATGATAATACTAGCTTTTCGTCTGTGAAATTTTCAATTTTTATGTACTAGAATTTTTTAAGCTTTTTCCTTTCCTTTTTATGTTTAAGCTCTTCTCCGTCTAGAAACTTTACATGTTCTATTATGCTTTTTATTAAACAAGACTTTTGCTATTTATTGAATGTTTTATACCAGCTTATTGATTCATGATGCATGTATCCTCATCATAGAAGCTGTTCTTAAACTGATTCTAGCTCATCATTTTCCTCTAGCTCATCATTTTCCCCTGTGCTAGAACTGTGCTTTTCGTGTAGATTTGTAATATACAACTAGTTAGGCATATTTCACTCATTATTCTTTTCAAAAAAATTTTAGCTTGTCTTCCTGCTAAATCTTCACCACCAAGGTTTTAATTGGAAGTCTACTAGAATTCAAATTGGGAAAGAGAAATCACTTTACAGTGCTTGGTGTTCTCCAGAATGGTGGCATCCCACCACACCTTTTGTGTGTGTATGTGTGTGTGTGTGAGGGGGGCTGTCTTTTTATGTTTCTTAGTACAATTTGATGTTTTCTGTTTGTTTATTCCATTTTTTTTAAGTTGTTTATTCCTAATTTTAGTTCAGGATTATGGATGTTTTCTTTTTAATGTGTGTTTATTTTCTAAATAGTTCCCAGAATCTAGAAATGCTGTTGTTTAGTATGTTTTTGCAATTCTTCCCCTTGAACTAAGCTATCTCACAACATCTTAAAATGCCCTTTGACATAAACCGTCAACCATTAGTAAAGTAAGATTGTGCTTCCATGAGTAATGGGTAAAATTGGTACGTGGTTTTGCTCTGTGGCATTTGTGTCTAGTCAGGGTTAAGTTATCTTTGCAAAACAGATTGGATGAATTTTCTTTCTTTTCTCTGTGGTCAGAGGCTATTTGTTACTACACAGCTGTTCCTTAACCTGCATAGCCTATAAACTGTTTTAAGAGGTAATTTGTTAATGATTTTATTTTTTCTCTTTCCTTGCTTTTTTTTCTGTTTCTGCTACATCAAAGATCAGTCTCGAGAATTTATATTTTTCCAAAGAATAGCCATTTTTTTAAGATACTTTAATATATTTGTATAGTATGTACAAAGCGGTTTTTATTCATTTTTGTTAAGTTGGTATGAAAGCAGGGGAGACATTGTTTCAGTGATGAGGCCAAGCAGTTACTACTGTCTACATTTAGTTAATTACACTTAATATGCAGTTGGTGCAGGTTCATTTTTACCCATATATTTACTGGTCTGATACTCTTTATTCCTTTGAATGTATTCAGGCTTCTGTCTGGTATTATTTTCCTTCTGCCTGAAGAACATTTTTTAACATTCCTTACAGTGCAGGCCTGCTGGTACAAACTCTCTCAGCTTTTATCTAGAAATGTGTTTGTTTCTCCTCTGTTTTTGAAGGACATTTATGCTGCATTTGTGCTGTGTATATAGGTTGGCTTTTTTTTTTCTCTTCATACACTTCAAAGGTGCCATTCCATTTTCTTCTGTCTTGTATACTTTCTGAATGTAAGTATTGAGTTGATCTGTTATTCTATCTGTAATCTTTTTGTTCTCATGTTATCAGCAGATGATAATAGGCCTTAGTTTGGGGTTTGTGTGTATTTATCATAGTTAGTATTTTTTAAGCTTCTTGAATCTGTCAGCTTCTGGTTTTTATCAAATATGGAAAACTTTCCACTATTATTTCTGCAAATGTTTTACTTACACACACACACACACACACACACACACACACATACATACACACCCCTTCTCTGAGACTCAAATTACACATATGCTAGACTGCTTAATATTGTCCTACAGGGCACTCAGGTTCATCGTTTTTTCTGTTTCTTCTCCTGTCTATTGCTGTGCCTTCAGGTTCTCTGATCTTTTTAGTATCTAATTGGTTCAACATATTCAATGAAATTTTTATTCCTAGTCTTTCATTTCTGCATTATGTTCATGTTTTTCTTTAAATGCTTGAGCACATTGAGATTATAACAGTTTTGAAGATGTTCTTTTCTCGTAATACCATCATCTCTCATTTTTAGTCTTTATTAACTGATTTTATCTTAGTCACTGGTCCTATTTTCCCACTTTTTTGCTTATCTAGTAATGGTTGGTTGATGAACATTGTGATTTACATTTTGGGGTGCTGGATTTTGTTGTATGCTTTTTTAAAGTGTTAGATTTGTTCTGGCAGGAAATTGTTAGTTGTATATCAGTTTGATCCTTTCACAGCTTACTTTGAAGCTTTGTTAGTGAAATTTTAAGTATTCTTTATTCTAGAGCTAGATTAGTTCCACTGCTGATATGTGCCTGATCTGGGGTCTCTCTACTGAATGCCTCATGTATTTGATGAAATCTCTGCTCTGGCTGATTAGGACTTCCGGCCCTAGGCAGACTTGAGATTATTCAGTTTATAGGTCTCTGGTAATTGTTCTTTCCTCAAAAGTTGTTCACTGCCCAGCCTTGTGGAATTTCTCCCTGTGCATGCTCAGATTGGTTCAGCAAAGACTCAAAGGGATCCCCTAGGCTCTCTGGAACTTTTTATCTATGTAGCTTCCTCCTTTTCCATATCATGTCTCACAAATTACAGCCTCCTGGGCCTCCCCCAAGTCATCTGTTCTAAGACAGCATTTTTGCCAGCTATGTCTGGGTTTCCCATCCCTGCACCTGCACTGTGGCAGCTGCTTTCGGTGGAAAGGCGGGTGGACTGTTAGGCTCACCATGTTTGTCTCCTTTCACTCTGGGAACATTGCCCTGCACAGCCTGTGGTCCAGTGCCTGCAAACAGTTGTTATGTCTATTTTATTCAGTTTCCTAGCTATCAGTGGCAGGTGAAGAAGTACAGACGCTGTTCTCTTTAGGTGGGAAGAGGGTGTCACAAGTCATTGTTAGAGACTTGCAGTTTTTGAAGCAGTGATATTTAACAGATTTGCCATATGTATTTGAGGATATCCTTTTTGCTCTTGAACATATTAAAAGAAAATCAATTACTGCAAGAGATACTAAAATAGGTTTCTTTCCTAGTCGAATGTTATGTTAATAAATCCTAGGAAAGCCTTGGTACTCTGAATCCAAATCCGTAAGGAACTCTCAGTTCACAGAGGCAACTTGTACTCCCGTGTCAACGATGAGAGTCATCGTTCCAGGGGAGTCGCACTAATTTCCACAGTTTGGGGTGAGGGGGGCGGTTTTTTTCTGAATCTCAGTGTTTACCATTTGTTTAGTCATTAGCAGCTACTTCTGCTCTGAAGTGTGGAGCTTACCATCCCTGGCTTGGGTTGAGGTAATGAGCTGTGTGACACTTGGCCAGTCACTTAGCTACTTGTCTCTAAATTGAGGGATCTGGACTAAAGAGACTTGAAGACCCTTTCCATGAGTTTACTGAGTAAACATGTACTGAGTGTTGTATGCACTGGGGATGGGTGGATAAGACAGGCGAGGACCCTGCTCTTACACAGCTTGGTGGAGTACATCGATGATACTGTAAATAAAAATACAATGAGAAAGAAATAACTTTCATGGGTGCTTTGAAGGAAATAAACCAGGGTGATATGAAGTGCTGATGGCAGGGACCAGCATTAGGATGGGAGGCCCAAGAAGGCTTGTCTGAGATGCTGAAATTTGAGCTGCCGTCCAGATGAGCAGAAGAAACTGGCCATTTGAATTCCAGGTCATAGGCGTTCTAGGCAGAGGGAAGAACACATGCAAAGGTCCTGAGATGGGCACAACCCTGGGTGACATGAGAACCCCGGGTGATGTGAGAACACTGTGGCATGATTGTCTTGAGTAGGGGGCATATGTGATGATCAGGGTCCTAGTCAGTGCTGGCAGCCTGTGACTCCAAGACTCGATCCTGCTGTGAATACTTCTCTACCTAAATAGTGCAAAGTTCAGTGTCACATGCCCTACTCAGATGAGTAACAGGGAGTGCCAGGAATTACATTGGGGTGGGGTGTGGTCGCTGAAGCTCCAACAAGATCACAGAGTCTGAAATGAGCAGGGACCTCACTGGCACGAGGAGCCAACACAGTTTTAACTCAGGAGTCTGAAGGCCAAGTTCAGTAGTCTTGGTCAGCGTGAGCCAAAATGAATCCATTTTTAAATTAGCAGAACCACGGATAGTTCGTAGGGACTATCGCCTCAAAGAAAATGCTGAAGCTGTTTCTGAGACTCACGTATAAAGGCTGCATGGGCTCCATGGCCTAGAAATGTTGCTTCGGTGGAAGGAAGCCACCAGGAAAACTGCTGGGAGAGTTTAAGGAATGTGTGACCTTTACGTAGAGAAAGGAAAGACCCAGTGAAAGCAAGAGCATTCCAGAGGTGGGGAGAGTGGACCTGAAGCCAGCCAGCTTTGCCCTGGTGGGAGGCAGGTTTCTTAGCCATTTGGGCTGCCTTAACAAAATACCATCAACTGGGTGGCTTGTAAATACACAACAGAATTATTGTGTTAATTATCCTCATAATTCTGGAGAGAACCCTAAGATCAGGGTGCCAGCAGGTTCAGGGTCTGCTGAGGGCTCACTTCCTGGTTCACAAATAGCACCTTTCTGCAGCATCATCACAGGGCAGAAGAGCCAGGGGGTGTCGGCCCTCATTTATAAGGGCACTCATCCCATTCATGAGGGCCCCACCCCCATGACCTAATCACCCCCCAAAGGCCCCACCTCCTCAGACCATCACCTTGTGGGTGAGGATTTCCCCACGGGAATTTGGGTGAGACACAGGCATTTGGGCCATGGCACCAGGCCTTCCCTGTGTTGCCAGGATGCTGCTTTTTGTGCTTGGATATAGCAGCAATTGAAAAATCCAGCTCAGGTTGAGGAACTCTTAAAGACCCAGGAGCTCTCACTTGGCATTACCAGCTGCTGGCATGTGTAGTCTGAAGGAACCCCCTTCTTAGAATGCCCAGAGTCTCCACGTCTGTCTCCTGTCCCAACATGCCAGCACCGTGTCACGTAGCCTCTGCCTGCATCTGCACAGCATTGTTTCTGGTGTGGTCTCTTTTTAGGCAGGGAAATCATTGCTGTCGGCTGTCACCTAAGTGGCAATGTCATCTCACCTGCACTTTTAACAACTGCTGTGCCCACGTGTGTTTTTATTGATCGATTTTTAGTTGTCTTTCATTGTGTCCTGTGGTCTGGCTTCCACTCTTCACGCCATAGTGAAGCATTGCCCATGCTTACGAGTGGCCTCTCATTTCTCCCTGCGTCGCCTCTTCTGCATTCTCCTCCACCTCTGTAACACCTGCCCCTGCAGACACATCCTCACTGCTGTGGCCTGCTCTCCTTCCTTTGAGGAAACCAGTTATTATTGCCTTCCTGCTTCTCTGCTGCCTCCTGGCTCTGCCTGCGCCCCTCCCCAGCACTTCCCAGCTGGCTTCAGCAGGCTCACTCTCTGTCTCAGTCTTCCCCTGGGAGCTCATACTGTCAGTTCAGCCATTTCTGGCACCAACCCCAAGTACCTCTCTCCAACCCTGACTTCCCTCCCCTGATCTAGATGTGCACTTTGGGCTATGCACATCTCCACCTGGATGCTCACCCTGGAGGAGCAAGCATCTCTCCCTCGCCTCCTCCCTCAGCAACTCCAGGCTGCCCTGTGGAAGCCCCTCTTCCGCTCCCCCAGGCTCACATGTTTAGAGTCATCCAGCATCCATTTCTCTAGACTCAGAAGGTTCCTGGCCATGTGGACTCTGGGTCCCAGTTGAATGGGTTGAAGAATGATGGACAGAGGGAGAGGTGAAGACAGCAAGTGCAGGCAGGTGAGGCCGTGATGGGACTGAGACTGGAGGAACAGATTAGAGAGGGTTCCTGAGGGGAGACGAGATTGTCAAACGTTTTTAAACAAAGATGGGAGAAGGATCTGGTAGGGTAGAGGATGGAGGTTAAAAGAAAAAGTCTTTCCTGAGTCCCTCAGAAGGACTCAGCAACACCTTTGCTGACTGGTAACATCCGACCCAGTGGTCTCCAGTTAGAACTACTCCAGGCTACAAGTCCTTTGGAAGCTTGTAGAGATTTGACAGCACTGGGATGACAGAGGTCAGGATTATGTGTCACTGTGTTGTTGGTCATATCGACAAGTCACTGAATAGTAGTGCGTATTGCAGTGTGAACTGGAAAATGAATTACAGTGCATCCCTACCTTGGGCCTCGCCTGCCACGCAGCCTTAGGAAAGAACAGGAAGCTATGTTCTGATAGAGGAGCCATTCTAAGATATTGTGGAAGGAATAACCATGAGATGTAACAATGTGTATATCTTATATATGTACAAGCAAGACAACAATGTATAAGATACAGCATCTTATACTACATCTAGTGTACTGCCATCTGTGCTTTTAAAAGCCAGGGTGGTGGAGAAGTCTGTATTGATGTTTTCTTGTATATCCATGGAGATACTCTGGAGGGGCCCCTGAGAACCCAGCCCAAGTGGCTAAGAGGGCAGGGGGATCCTGTGTAAACAGGATCAGGCTGTGGGGGGCTTTCACCTTAATATCTTTTATATTCTTAGGTTTTTGAACCATATGTATGTATTATAACCTCTTTAAATTTTTCAAAAATATAATTAAAAAAAAACCTCTAGCAATTAAAATATTATTTCCACCAGTTGAATGAAAGTCAGGTTGTTTTGCCAGGGAGGTTATTTGGCTCCTCTGAAATGTCCATTCATGAGTTTTCTGGTGGCTTTGGCTTATTCTCTTTCACTTTGGAGGAAATATTTCTGATTCATAATTCTTCATGCTCCGCCCTCAGAGAACTTCTGCCATTGCTAATGCTACTAGTAAAGTCTGATCTAGTTTTCTTACATTTCATTCCTTTTTTCCCCATCCACTCTACATTCATCACCACATTGGATCATATTTGGACAATTCATACAGACAGGAGGATAATTATTTGCATTCTTAACCAGGCACAGTGGTTCATGCCTGTACATCTCAGCTGCTTGAGAGGCCAAGGTAGGAGGATCACTTGAGGCCAGGAGTTTGAGACCAGCCTGAGCAACATAGCAAGACCCCATCTCAAGACCCTGGCAAAACACAGTTGCTGCTGTTGAGCTGTGACATACGAGGGAACGTTGGCAGGATGCTTTATGTGGTGGGGGAGAGGAGAGCTATCTTCAGCTGCTTAACAGGGCTGTTTGAAAAAGGAGTGGAACTGGAACAAGTAGATGGACTTTCTGATAGTCCCTCCCAGGGCAGCTAGAAACAACTCCTGAGTGTCCCACAGGGGTGGTGGTCTGAAGTGGTGGCTGCCACACAGCTCTATGACCCGCAGAGAAGGCTGGCTGCATCCACGTGTCTATCCAGTTTATCTTGCATTTGGAAAAAGAAGTTTCGACTAGATGGCCTTGACTCTAATAATAAGATGTTTTCTTGATTATTTTCCTTTTTTCTTTCGGCTTCTCAAACCTGGAATAGATACTCTCCATGAGACCCATTCTGTCTTGATTCTGTCCTTTAAAAAAATCTCTAACTATGTAGCTTCCTTTCAATAAGTACCTCTCCATCTGTATTTTTTAGGCAAGGTGAAACAAAAGAGTGACTTTCTTGTCAGAGCTTGAAAGAGAGCAAGTGGCTTTAAAAGTAGACTTTGGCTTTCTAAAGGTTCTAAGTTTTAATATTCTTATATTCGTTTAATCCTAAGTGTGTAATGAACATCTTTATCCAATTCAAAGATGACACCTGGGAGTGAACTGGTGGTGGGACATCACAGACTACTGTGATTTCAAACTCTCGGCAGGTACATCTCCGTTCATGGATGCATTAACAGCCAATGGGACAACCAACATACAGACATCTGTTACAGGAGTGACTGCCAGCAAAAGGAAATTTATTGACGACAGAAGAGACCAGCCTTTTGACAAGCGATTGCGTTTCAGCGTGAGGCAAACAGAAAGTGCCTACAGATACAGAGATATTGTGGTCAGGAAGCAGGATGGCTTCACCCACATCTTGTTATCCACAAAGTCCTCAGAGAATAACTCACTAAATCCAGAGGTGAGAGGCGCTCTTGGGCTGGCGTGGGCTTCGCGCTTCTCCCTGCCTGATTTCCAGGCCTGCCTGGCTGAACTGGCTCTTCCTGTGCTCTTTCTAAACCTCCTTTTGGGCCATCTCCCGATGCCCACCAGAAGGGAGGGAGCAGAGGGGAAGTTGCGGGCTTTGCTCCATGTCCCACCTCCAATGGCCGTGAATTCAGGATGCTTGGCCTGTGCTGAGTGTCCATCCCCATTCTCCCGGGTGTGGGTCCACCCAGGCCTCTGTGCCTCTGTGGTTCACCTCCTGCCTGGAAGCTCTTCATCTGGCGGGCACGGGGCTCCATGAAGGCACGTGGGAAATGTGTGTGCACGCGCTTTGCTTTAGCTTTCATCAGATCCTTAAAGGGTTCTTTGTTCAGACAGAATTTAAGTGCCCCCGGGGATCCCAGTCCCTTCAGAATATTTATCATCTTTCCAGTCCCCAGATACTCCTCAGCGGTTGTAGCAGAACACACAGCAACAGGGATTTCCACACATGCTCATTGCTGATAGTGCCTAGTAAGTAAGTTTTCCAGAACTGGTTGTTGGAAAGGTTAGAACATGAATTTTGTGAAGTTTCTAGAATCGGGAGTATTTGAACCTAACCTATATCTTTCCAAAATTTTAAGTCCTAGTAGTTTGTGAGTAGCTAGGTTGAGTTTTGTCCAGACAAGAAAACTTAACTACAGAAAGTCTGTGTGTTCGCCCGGGGTCACATAACAAACCAGTTCAAAGTTGGTCCTTGGTACATTTTTAGACTGCAGAGTCCCTTCATTGATTATTTTTAAATGCTTCACAGAGATCATTTAAAATGATTTTATGCCCTAAAATTACCAGTCCATGCTAATGTGCTTGGACTTAACGCACTTACGCACCAAACTATTTTCTGTCCCAAGTGTAATAGGGTAGTTTTTAAAACAAAACAAAACAAAAAACAGTAGAACTGAATGAGTTTCTTTCAACTGGTTTGAATGTGCCACCTGCTGTCCAAACTGGAGAAATGCCCAGTGATATAATAAGCAACTTGCCTTATCTAAGAGCCGCAATTTGCCTTATCTAAGAGCCGCAATGGCTGTATAAATACTAAGATAACGTAGATTCCCATGTCTTTTTAATTATACTCGAGTTATGTAGTTATATTTTACTCCATCCCCAGCATCTCAATCTCTGGTTACAGAAAATGAGACATTTGCAAATTAATTAAAATCATGGTAGATATCAGTAACTGTATCAGGCTATGATGCATTTTTCACAGATGCAGATTCTCCAGTAATAAAATGCTTTTAGGCAGGGTGCGGTGGCTAATGCATGTAATCCCAGCACTTTGGGAGGCCAAGGCAGGAGGATCACTTGAGCCCAGGAGTTCAAGACCATCCTAGACAACATAGCAAAACTCCATCTCTACAAAAAAAGTTGAAAAATGAGCCAGGCATGATGGCACAAGCCTATAGTCCCAGCTACTTGGGAGGCTGAGGCGGGAGGATTGTTTGAGCCCAGGAGTTCAAGACCACCCTAGACAACATAGCAAAACTCCATCTCTTACAAAAAGGTTGAAAAATGAGCCAGGCATGATAGCACAAGCCTGTAGTCCCAGCTACTTAGGAGGCGGAGGCGGGAGGATTGTTTGAGCCCAGGAGTTAGAGAGCACAGTGAGCCTTGATTAAACCACTGCACGCCAACCTGAGCAACAGAGTGAGACTCTCTCCAAAAAAAAAAATGCTTTAAGATTTTAAACCCAAAATATTCTTTGCCACTTTAACTTCTGGTGACTTTCAGGTAATGAGAGAAGTCCAGAGTGCTCTGAGCACGGCCGCTGCCGATGACAGCAAGCTGGTACTGCTCAGCGCCGTTGGCAGCGTCTTCTGTTGTGGACTTGACTTTATTTATTTTATACGACGTCTGACAGATGACAGGAAAAGAGAAAGCACTAAAATGGCAGAAGCTATCAGGTATGTAAAAATGATGTTTTTTAAACATTGGTTGGGTGTTTTGTTTTTGGTAAACCAATCCTGATAGAATGGGCCTGACCAAGCCTTGAGAATAAGATACACATCTTCTCCCATGGAGAGACACGAGCAGCAAAATTAATTAAATCATCTGTCTCTTCTATGGGCCTGCCATAAATTACTACTTGCCTTGGGCAAAATCTTTTCTATGGGCCTGCCATGAATTACTACTTGCCTTGGGCAGATAACTGATTTCAAGGTTGGTTTAAACCCTGCAAGTGTTCGGAGAATGTTCTGATGATTAGAGTAGATGATCATGGGTAGCCAGAGTTCCTATTATTTGTGCCGTGAGTATGTTCTGTCCTCAACCCCTAGATAAAGATCTCTTCCAAATAGTAAGTTACCATTTGCTCGACTCTGAAGTAAATTGTCTAGGCTTTATGATGAGATAGCTCCGTAACACCACATGGAGAGTTTTGTTTTTTGGTTTTTTTTGTTGTTTTTTTTTTTTGTTTCTTTAAATACAAGTAGTGCACATTCTTGTTCAGTTTCATCCTAAGTTCCAACTGGACAGAGAACCAGATAGTAGGAAATAAAAAGCAGAAGTCCTCCTTGTCCCTCACTCCCCTCAAGGTATCCAACATTCATTGGTGTGTCTTCCCCAACCTTTTTCTGAACATTTTGTTATAATTTTCAGTTTAATTTTTTAGACTTACTTTTAAACTCAGAAGTAAAAATTGTATATACTTATAGTGTACAACATGGTGTATTGAAACACGAATACATTGTGGAATGGTTAAATCAAGCTAATTAGCATATGCATTACCTCACATACTTACTATTTTGTGTGTGTGGTGAGAACACTTAAAATCTACTCTCAGCAATTTTCAAGTATAAAAATACATTAACTGTGGTCACCATGATGTACAATAGATGTCTTGATCTAAGCATTTTCAAATTTTTATTTCATATATACACACAAATAGTATCAATTTAGTTCTGTTGTTGCTTTGCAACTTGCTTTTTTCATGTGACAATATGACTTTGAGATATTTCTATTTCCTTGGTTGTTGGATTTTCCTCTGCTATATGATAACATATATCAGCAAAACTTTCTCTAAAACCACTTAATTCGTCTAAAATCATATCCCCTCATTTATCATGCTAATCACTCCATGTATAATTAGAAGTGTCTGATTTTTCGGAGATGAATTTTATTTAAAATGGATGAAACCTAGTCATCAACATGAAAGTTGGCTATGCTTCTCTACTCACCTCCCTAAAATGACATATCCCCAGGTGGCCCCCATAAACCCTTTGTGCTTGCCTTTTTAACTTACAGAGGATGAAAAATGAAAGAAAACGTAGACTGGCAAAATGGCAGTAAAGTAAGTTGGATCTTTTCCAAAATCCCAGATTTCTGGAGGGCTGAAGTTGAACTACTTTTGATAGTTACTAGGCTCCAGCTGAGCACTGCCCTTGGTGCACTGGGCTTTCTAGCACCTAAACCCTTCTAGAGCTTGCACAGCAGGATTGGTGTGGTGGGTAGGGGGGCTCTTTTTTCTGTTTTGTTGAGTCTGGGGTAGGCAGGGACGTCTTTCTTTGACTGACACCCAAGATGGCTCTGATGGGCACCAAACAGCCCATCACAGGAGTCCTGGAACCCACACCTCTGGGTTGAAGGGGATTGCCTTAGCCTCTCATGACATATTTAATCATTTTCAGAATTACTATATTTTCTCATATGATGTACACATGTATTTAGGAGGTTATCCCTTAATCTTTTGAATGTTACCTTTTACAGGCTATCACATTATGTGTGGTTTTTTTCAGAAGTGGTTTGAAATTTTATAGTCTGATCTTATTAAGTATTGTTTCTAATCTCCTAGGGGATTTCATCCCTGTGGTACACTAGGTGGGACCATCTTGTTCTTCAGTTTAAGATTAAACTGCTTGATCAGTGTCATAAATCCTTGGCTGACTCTCAGCGCCTCTAAGACAGCTTCATTATTATCCATTCAGGGTGAATTCCATGAACTTAACTTTTATTTTTAAAATACAAACCACCATGCCTCCTATGGTCACTTTGCATGTTCTCCATAATATCACGCTGAATGTACACATAATATTGTGCTTTTTGGTAGCTCTGCGGTCATAAGAAAATCGGATGTGTCAGCCAGTGCCTTCTGGGTCCTGGCTCCGTTTTCCCGTGTAGGCTTTTCCCTGGCTCCACTTGTGAGCCCGCTGGTGCCTCGCCGGGTGCAGCTCACTCCTCCCTCCAGCGTTGAATTCCCTTGGACAGAGGCTGTGGGCTTGTGGCGCTGGGATCAGTAAAAGCAGAGGAAAGCTAGATCCAGCCAGGTTTAAGTGGAGATCTCCTTTGTTGAACTTGATGTCACTTTAAAAGTTCACTTTCATCAGCTCCCTGCTCCGTCCACTCTCCCTACTCCACACAAAAAGCTGGATTGATATTCTTGTGAAGAGCCAAGTCCTGCTTTAGGAAAACCAACTTGTTTCTTCTTTATGTGACTATATTTTTGTCAATGTGAATTTTCCTTAATGTAGTCTGGCAAGATCAGAAAAATAATTAGTTACACCAGAGTCACTTAACCTTTCCTTTTCTTATTTGCATTTAAATTAATTTTTATGTGGATAAAAGCTCTTCCTGTGTATATTTTTCATTTCTCTGGTGTCTTGTCTCATGTTCCTTAAAACTTGGAGGCAAAGGACTTCATCGTAGCAAGTTTCCAAAGGAAAAGCGGGAAGCAAACAGGAAGATGAGGTTTCATATTAGGTCACCAGGTATCTAGAGCAGCTGACTTTGTGACGAGGATTCGTGGTTTGCAGTTTGCAGGGTAATTGCAACAAAAATATTCTGCACCTTTGTGGTTAGAACAAAATTCTTTCAAGTTCATGGACAGCATTAGGCTTTTGAAGTCTGCCAGAACCAGTAGCTGCCACTGGGTTTTAAGGACCAGGAGACTTCTCTCCCCAAAAGTGAGGTTTCTTCTTCCTCCCACAGAGGGAGACCGGGGGCCCTGCCCAAGCAGTGCCCCAGGGGCAAGAGGATTTGGGAGAGAACAAAGTGAGCCAGTAAACATGCCCCATGACCCTGACCTGTACCCCATTAGTCCTTCAAACGAAGGTGCCATTCAAATGAGAGAGACCTCAGCCATGGAAAGCAGCACACTGGCTGCCCAACTTCAGGTCCCTGCTGCCTCCTTCTCCCCAAACGTTCCTTTGACAGTCCCTACATCTTATGTGATTTTCCAGCTGTTTGATATTTCCAGATTAGTAAATGTCCTTTAAAGGAAGAGTTTTGTTTAATTATAAAGTCTTTTTAGACTAATTATGTGGCAAATATCAGCCTCCTTCCCTGCCATACCCAACAACAGCCTTGAATTCAATTCCAAAGAAACAAATTTAACTTCAGTACATTGCATGGCAAACATTTGAGTGTTCATACATTTTGATTTCAAGTTTAAAACACACTTGGCTGAAGCCCACAGAAGCAGGGGCTACTTGGGAGAGGACCGTCCCAGGCTTGAAGGCAGCCCCTGCCTCGCCTCTGGTTCCTTGTGCCTTGATTTGCAGCTCCCTTGGTTAAGCCTTTATGGTCCTGGGAAGTTTCTACTAGGCAGAGAAAGCATTTCTGTAAAGGTTTTCTTTTTTAAAACAAAACGAGTCTCTGTGTGCACCACATCCATTTCTGGCATCTCAGGGCTCACTATTCAGAATGGCCAGTTCCCATTCCCTGAAAAGGGAAGGGGCTCTTTGCTCCAGAGCATGCTGGTTCATTCATACCCCGTCCAGAAAGAGCCACCAGCTTCAGGTGAAGTCACCATTCCAGGCAAAAGTAAAAATAAAATTTCAGTTCCAAAAAATGCCTTCAGCCTATCAAAATCTAAGTTTCGACTTACCAATATCTATTAATATTTTAGAAGCAGATTTTTTTATACAAATATATGGGCATGGAGGCAAGGATATATGAAATAATTCCTTTTACTGTTTTTCTGTAGAATTACCTTCTTATTACCTTGACTTTGATCATCGCTTTTATGTTAATTTATTGCCCCATCCGTGGTTTCCAGATGTCAGCCTGGGCAACGGCTATAACAGTTTGCCTTCTGTTCCATAAGGCAGATGAAATTGGAGCTACTCAGATTTTGGAAACAGCTGTTCCTTATCATTGAGAGACAGTTCAGCAGTTTTACCTTTTCATGAGTCATCAGTTACTGGGCCTAGGAAATGTATTTCCATCTTGTGTCATTGACCCCATATCTTCAAAAGATGACACAACTGAAATAGCTTCATGTAGTTCTTCTAGGCTTATTTCAAGAGTCTGCTTAAAAGGTTGTCTGACACTCTGATCATTAAACCCCAGTGTGATCTTTCTAAGAATGCCTCAGGCTCTCTCATTTAGAAAGACTTAGTGCAACTCATTCATTTGAATGAGTTAATTCTTGCTCAATGCAAAGATCCCACAAACCTTGGGGGCTAGGCTGAGGTCCAGCCGCTAAACTCTGCAATTCCTCACTCTCCTGTTCATACACACACAGACACAACCCTCCTCACCTCCCTGACCTGCCCCTGCCAAAAAATATGAGTCATCCGTCAGTGTCTCGGGGAGTTGAGTGGGGAGCTATCTCAGATGCTGAGTCATGATTTTCAGAGAAGATCTGAACAGATTGCTGTGGTTTTAAATTGCTGAATTGTAGAGAGCATCTAGATTGTTATTTTCAGTATTAAAGATGGGGGTCAGGTTTAGAATCCAGCAAGTGAAAAGCTGTCCTTACTCTGCACTTCTGATCTAGAACTCAGCCTGCACTGAAGGGACTATCTTGTGTTTCTTCTTTTCTCCACTGTGTGAAATCATAACAAGAAACAACCTCTGAGCATAAGATCAGCTTCTAGTATTTAGGGGAAGAAAATGCACATTCCTAAAGTGGTATGACACCAAGCTACCCTACATTGAAAAGCAGCCTACTTTTCCAGCCTGATCTAAAGCAAATCCCAAAATAGCATGGGCTTGATTTATTAAACCTCTGTCCTGTGCAGAGGCTGCCCCACGCCTGACCCCACTGTCCTCCGAACTCCTGCTGCAGCCGTACCCTCCAGCCCTCAGTGGAGCAGGATGTGGGTACAGGCCTGAGCCCTGTGCTGTTTGCTCTTCTTGTTTGCAGGTCGCATGTCTTGAGCCAGCCTGTGACACTCTTGTCTCTGTATCCCCCAGACTGTTCAGTCCACTTCCACATAAACTCAGGAAATAGCAATTATTGCCAGATAATCAGTGAGCTGTCTGAAATCATGAACCAAGGCCAGACCCAGATCCCAGGGTTTTTGTGAACCCTAATCCACCACCGTACACTTAACACCAGGCAGTCTTAGTATGCCCTGGGCCAGATTTCCTCTGTGACAGCTTCTTGATTTGTCTTGTGAAGCCCAGAATATGTACTGGGCTCCTGTGTCTTCGAGGGAAGACAGGTTGGGGAGCAAGATGTGTTGTTTATAGAGCCCGAGAGCCACCTGCAAATTCCAGTGCAGCTCATGGCTGCATGTTACCCTGTGGCCTTCACGTAGGGCCTGTAGTGACAGCCACTACATGCGTGGGCTCCAGGCTGTCACCAAACCTTTACAACACGTAGTAAATAAGTCTAGGGTCCACAACTGCTGGGGAAGGCCTTAAACAAATCTCAAGTCTTCAGGATTTCCGTAGCATTTACATCTTGGTAAATTGAATTCCATAATAGACTTTTCCTTTGCTCAAATATGCAATGTTTTGAGTAATTCCCCATTTATTTTTCATTTTAGAAACTTCGTGAATACTTTCATTCAATTTAAGAAGCCCATTATTGTAGCAGTCAATGGCCCAGCCATTGGTCTAGGAGCATCTATATTGCCTCTTTGCGATGTGGTTTGGGCTAATGAAAAGGCTTGGTTTCAAACACCCTATACCACCTTCGGACAGAGTCCAGATGGCTGTTCTACCGTTATGTTTCCCAAGATAATGGGAGGAGCATCTGTGAGTACCTTTTTAAAAAAAAAAAAAAAAAGTCATTCTAGAAAGCTTCCTGAAGAAATCTAGTTTGGTTATTGTTTTTCTAAAGCTGTACAGTGTGTCATTCTGTGGGGACTTTCCATCTTGTAATTCAGATTTGGGTTCATAGACGTTGTTGACCTTTGTTGCATCATTCCCTAGAGAAGGACTTCATTCACTGAGGAGCCTACCACTTTGCATAATTCACATGGATATCTACTGTTAGTAAATACCCAATCAGTAACCCAACCAACAATTTGCAATTGAAAAGTTCTTCACCTAATAACTTAAAAACTGCACTTTTAAGAGAAGGCAATTTTAAGAGGGAGCAAAGTTACATAGGATTAGAGGGTTGTCGTCCATATAATTGTGTGTTTTTATTTCTTTAACTGTTTAATCCGTTCATTATAGTAGTTTGTGTTTGTATTGTAGCTTGTGATTTATCAAGCAGTTATTCACATCTCATTCTCTAGTCCTTGAAATAGGGCAGGAGGTGGTGTCACAGGTCAGGTTCTCCAGAAGCAGACACTGAGATGAGTTTGGCACGTGGAGAATTAGCAGGTAGTCAGTACCTGTGGAAGGGATGGGAAGGAAGCAGGACCGCACAGAGGAAGAGGTCAAAGTGATACTATGCCCATCATCCTTAGGGGTGGGATGTGCGGGAAGCGTTGCACCCTGGACGAGGTGGCTCCCTACAGCTGAGGGCATCCCTAAAGGCGCCCTGTGGCCGTCTGCTAACAGCAGCACCCGCAGCCAGGCAGCCAGGCCTCCCCAGGAGCGATCATGGCAGCACAGTTCCATGTCCACCACAGTTCACCCCAGGGCCATTCAGATCATTGATGCACCTTTTGGGGGCCAGCTCCTTCAGGTTCCAAGGGGCTTTCTTTCTGGGAGAAACTTAGAGGAAGAAGATTAGGCAGCAATAACTTGCAGGCCAGAACCTGAAATGTTTAACCTGGATGTTATAATCAGTGGGTAAAAGTGTGATGAGAAAAAGGATATTTGGATCCTCTCATTATTTGCAGTGGGAAAAATAGTAACTTTACAGTAAAGAAACCTGGCAGCTACCACCTTGCCGAGTGGTCAGAGTTCACAGAAATAAGACAAAAGCCAACATGAAGCACTGAGGGGAACACAGCCTTCGTCGCTGCGTGGGATTTCTCCTGAAGGTGCAGCAGCTCAGTCTCATCATGAGGAACGTCAGGCCCAGACTGGGGGGCAGTCTGCAGACACCCGCAGTGCTCCACCAAAGCGCCAAGGTCGGAGAAGACGTGGAAAGACTGAGGAACCGTCTCAGACTGGAGGAGACCAAGGGGACACGACAGCTCAGAACATCAGGGACCCAGGATGGGCTCCTGGGCCAGAGAAAGGACAAGAGTGGGAAGGCTGGTGAAATTCACATCATGTTTGTAGTTGAGTGACTAGCACATTGTCAGTGGCTTTGGTCATCTTAAGATGTTATGTGACATTTTTTAACCTAGGGAGAGCTGCCTGAAGGTTTATGGGAACTCTGTACTACTTTTATCATCTTCCTGCATCTAAACGTACTTGAAAACCAGAACGTTTAAAATAAAGGAATACAAGAGAGGAGGAGGAAGGTGACTAGGCCAGACTGTGTCCCCCAGTGCCGCACTGGTCTCAGAGCTGCCCTGCTCCTCACCTTCTCACACCCCAGGGTAGTTCCCCTCACCCATAGCTCCCACCTCTGCTGGCTTCAGCAGCCGCCCAAATGCTAAAACACTCACCCCCAAGGGATCTGTGGCCTGCTCACTGTGCCCAGCTCAGAGTTGCTGCACTTGTCCACTTAACTGCTATAGTTGATCAGGAGAGGAACAAGCAGCACCGGCCTGCATCCCATTTCCCAGGCCACGTGTCCTTCCAGATAGAGGTCTTTGTACTGTATGTGCTACAAATCAGAAAACGCTGCTGCCCACCATCATGGAGCCACCTCCAAACTGGCACCTCTCAGGCCGTGCCGACGCCCTACCAGGCTGGCGGCTGTGGCAGGTGCTATATGTGACTTAGCCACAGGACTCTCGGGTCCTGTCCCCTGACATGGTCTTTGCTGTGAGGCTGGTGTTCTGGTCACAACGCACCACCCTGAGGCACCCCATGCTGGTGGACTAGACCTTCCATAGCCACAGAGAGTGATGCTGCCTGAGGATCTGCAGGTGGGACAGGCAGACTCAGACCCAGAGGATATGCCCATGCCTGTTGGAGCCGTCAGCGTGCTGCCCAGCGCCCACAGGCGGGCCTCCCTGGGAATGGTGTCTTGTGGGCCGATCACATTGGCATCTCCTGCTGGCAGGCTGGACACTCAGTAGCAACAGCGACTGCATCAGCCTTTGGTAAGTCAGAGACTGTGCTGTTGAGGCCCCTCTGGCCAGCCCTGGGTGGCCAGCGACCACCAGCCATCTCTCAAAGCTGTTCAGTGCCCCCTCCATGGCGGATGCTCTCAGGTGGACATTAATGTGAGACAGCAACCTGCACGCTTCCCATTCCTCCACCCACCACACGCCTCTGTCCAGGACACCCACCCCTGCTGGCAGCTAGTGTTATTCTAACCTTGATCCACTTTTTTTTCTACACCAGGGGGTGACCAGGTGCATCTGCCCCCAGTGGGGGCATTTTCCTCACCACATTCTCTTTGAGGCCTGCTGGATGAGGCTCTGGTGAAGTTGCTGTCCCCTTTTTGGCTTGCCCATCCACCCAGTGAGCCAACCCACCCACAGGCCACACTCGGTCACAGGGAGTCCCCCCATGGCTGTAGGTATGAGCTGAGGCAGGGCGCAGGTACTCAAGGGTCTGGGGGTGACGCAGGGGTCTAGGCTGCCGGCCCATGCCCTCTGGAGCTTGCCAAGCCCAGCTGTGCATCTGCCGCGGGCCCTGCCTGACCTTGCGCCTGTGGGGCTGATGGAACTCAGCTCGTGGTGGTCACTCCCCACATGTGGTCATGTGGGGTCCCGTGGTCGGGCGCTTTGCCTCTCCCAGTCCCAGCCAGCACTCCAGGCATGCCCTTCCCTGCTGTGGATGGCCCCACCGGCTGTGCTGCCCTCCTCCCTCTGGCACTGACCACAGGCTCCATATGCATCTTGTCCCACCCCTCCCTACTCAGCCCTGGCCTTTCAGCCTCACTCAGCAGGGCCCCCACCTCCCTCGTGCTTCCAGTAGCCATCCCAGCAGCCAGGTCAGACCATCTCCTGGGAACCTAGCAGGGCCAAATCAGTATCGCAGGAGAGCCCCCACGTCAGTGAATCTCCTGTCCAGCTTGTGGTTGGGCCCCAGGTCAGGCGCCCTGAGAATCCAGGCCCTCGTGTTTTCTCACAGCTCCCACCTGCACCCTTGGCTGGGTCGTGCAGCCCGTTTCAGGGAAGAGGCGAGTTACAGGCCTGACGCCAGGAGAGGGGATGGGGCAGGTTTTGGGGGGCAGTGTTGCCTTGCTGAGAGATATTTGCCTTATCTTCTAGCAAGGGGGGCTTACGTGTTCTGATAGGGATGGGTGGGCCATGTCCGTAGGCTCGGGATCAGAGGAAGCTGGACTTCAAAGTTGGGGGCATTCACCCAGAAGCGCCTATACCAAGTTCTAGGGTACCTCCCCACCCCTCACAAGCTGACAGACCCTCCTCCAGTGGCTGATTAACCTGGGTGGAGCTTGTCCACTCTTGCTGACAAGTCCAGGGGCTAAGGCCAAGTCTCAGCCCTCTCTGCCTCTTGCTCCCGGCTGCCCCTCTGCTTGCACCCATGTCCCTGCCCCTCACCTGTGAGAGTGTTAGCACGTGGACGGCTGCCTGTGCCAGGTACTGTGGCTTCTCCACCTGGCCTGTTGGGGGGTGGTCCCTCATTGCCAGCTGGGGAGCCGTGCAGTTTCTAAACCTCTCTCTTCACCCTCGGTCTGTCCACTCCCCTCGTCACAAGGTGGTTTCTCTGGAAGCTAAGATAGATTTGGGAAGCAGGGTCTGGTAGATTAGGTGCCAGCGTCCATGGAAGGGCAGAAAGGAAGCAGGATTGGGCAGAGCTGACTGACAGGGAGCTCTGGAACCACGTGGCCTCACGGCGGTTCCCGGTGCCCCACTGCAGTTGGCCGTGGGGTTGGCGGCCCTGGGAAGAGCGGTCCATGGGGGAGGCCCTGAGCTCTCTGTTGCCTGCTGACAGCACTTCCCACAGCAGGCAGTTTGCTGGGGTGGGGACGTGGGTGGCTTATCCAAGTCATTTGCTTTGTCCTTTACACCGTACTGCACGCACCTGACACCACCAGACTCCCATGGTAGAGTCATTATCAGTAAAATCAGTTCATCGTAGTGATTACTGTAAACGAGACTGTGTCCTGCCAGTTAACCCTGTCCCGGCAGGAAAGAATCCTCATCCTCTGGAACATCCCGTGAATCTCATTTTGAGTTATTTATCCAAAGGAGGTTGAGATCTGAGGTTCTGACCCCTCCCACTGTATGATCTATGTAGATGTGTGGTGTCGGTGCAGATGTGGGGCAAATACTAAACCACCTTGATGTTCAGACACATTTTGGCCAAAGACATTTTGGAAGTGGAGCCCTGGAGCTGAATGCTGCTCAGGGGTAGAGGTGTCAGAGTTCACCATTCCCAGAAAGGGCCATGAGGCTTGAAGTCATCACAGGACGAATGCCTGCCCTCTGGTCAGCCGTGTTTCTCCCTACTCTACAAGCCTTGGCAGATCTTTACTTTACGCTTCCCCTGGAGATGTACTGGTGCCTCTTGAGCTGCTGCTTTCAACTGGGCAGTTTTCACCCCCGACCTCACCCCTGGGGAACAATGTCTGGAGACAACTTGGTTGTCACACATGAGGAGATGGCCGTTAGCAGAGGCTGGGGTACTGCTCGGCACCCTCCATAGCCCACGGGACAGCCCTGCTTAGCACCCTGCATGTAGCCCCCACAGGACAGCCCCCACACCAAACAACAGTCCAGCCCAGAATGTCCCTAGTGTCCAGGGGGAGAAACCCTGCTCTAACTCAAGAGCGAAGAGCCTGCATTTCACTCGGCGTGAATTCTACACTTTCTGAGCAGAGTATCTGACGAAGCCTCTCTACAGAAAGTGAATAAACGTTGTTCAGATGACTTCGACAACTCTTGTTGAAAGTGACTATGCAGATGATGTAAATGATGTCGTTCCTTTCATGAGCCTTTGGTGTACTTGAGCTTTCAGCAGCCTGAGGCAAGACTGGACAAGTGTGGTTTTCCCCACTTTGCATGTGCAGAGCTCTGCCAGGAGGATAAGCTAAAGGAATCACATTATCAAGATAAAAAGAATATGCAAATAGTGCAGGCTGTGTGGCCTCTCCTTTCTTACAGCAGGCCCTCCGCTGTAGGCGAGGGCTACGTAAATCAGCCAAGGAGTCTCTTCCAGTTTAGCCTTCCTGGTGCCCAGTAGACATTCATGGAGTGCATGGAGGATGGCACGGTCTGACGCCCACAGGCTCCCACGTGGAAATCTTGCACCTCTCAGGGGCCTGCTGGGGTGTGAAGCTGGAGAATGCCCAGCGAGTACCTGAGGGCCTTACCCCACGCTCACACCTTGAGAGCCCTCTCTTGGGGACTTCAGAGACTGGCCTGAGGGAGCAGGTGGTAAAACCTCTGCCACAGCAGTCCCCATAAGGCTGAAGATTCCTGGATCCCCTCTGCTCATACTGGGCCAGTTTCCTCGCCACCCGTCCTGCTGTACTCTGGCCAAACTAAAAAGACATCTCTATTTAACTTTCCTCGGCATTTCCCATCTCTCTGGATGGTTCCAGGATAACTTTCTTTTAATAGTTGGACAACTTTGACCACATCATGGGGTGATGTAGGTTGTCTACAGGGAGTCCCTGTGCACTCAGCCATCTCAGAGCAACGTGCTAGCTGGTCAGGTTCCCACCGCCTGCATCTGTGTGAATCGGTTATTTGGGTAGAAGTTTGAAACCTCTCATTTTGAAACTACTGAAAATAGTGTGTTTATATAAGAATATGCTCACGCAAATTGCGTGTATTTAATCCTATAATACATATCTTACCAAGGGAGATTTGTTGTTGTTGTTTTCTTGGGTGACTGTCGTTCAAACCAACTCACTGGCCGTGTTTAAGTGAAAAAGCTTTAACAACCTAGCGTGAGCCCTGTCATTTTTGCTCTTGAGTAAATTGAGAAATGCCCTTGCTTGTCCTGCACATCCAACCACCTGGAATGGAGAACACCGAAGGTAGGGAAAGGATCTCCAGGGATGAGCAGGCCTGGAGCCGGCGGGGCTGTGGAGGAAGACCGGCCGCAATGAGTGAGTGCTGAGCAGAGAGAAGGGCCGTTCTCGGCTGGTATCAGGCCCAAGAGAGTCAACAAAGGGGGGACGAAAGGGAGACAGGGAAGAGAACAGTGGTGGGGCTGTAAGTTGACCTCCAGGTGGCAGAAAATAAAGTTGGAAGAATTGACTGGGACAGACAGCCAGGGCCCTGCAGGAAGGGCGGGAGAGGAAGCCTGCGGACACCTGCCCTTTGTGATTGAACCGCAGACACCAGGCCTGGCGGGGTCGCTTGCCTCCGCTGCCCAAGCTAAGGCTCCACTAAGCTGGTCCTGAGAACATACTTCATGCTCAACTTCAGGGATGTGGCTGTAGTGTCCTCACTCTATGCTGAGAATGAAAGAAGCACAGTCTATGAAAGGAAAACCCCGACAGCACAGAGCACTTCGTGCGGCAGCAGCACACCGGGAGTCCCACTCCCTTTCCTGCTGCGTTTGGATCTGCCGTGACAAGGACTATCAGAACCACTCACAGTAAGGTCGGGTCGCGTTTCTAAATCCACTGTTTATGGACCGTCTTTTCACTGAGAAGAAGCTCGTCAGTTCAGGGGTTTCTAGAACTTCTCCAGACTCTTCAAAAACTCATGACTTTCTCCAAGTTGGTAATCCCAGCACTTTGGGAGGCCCAGGCGGGCGGATCACGAGGTCAGGAGATCGAGACCATCCTGGCTAACACAGTGAAACCCCGTCTCTACCAAAAAATACAAAAAAAAATTAGCCGGGCGTGGTGGCGGGCGCCTGTAGTCCCAGCTACTCACGAGGCTGAGGCAGGAGAATGGTGTGAGCCTGGGAGGCGGAGCTTGCAGTGAGCCGATATTGCACCACTGCACTCCAGCCTGGGCGACAGAAGGAGACTCCGTCTCAAAAAAAAAAAAAAAAACTTGCAAACCCTCATGAGGAGCCTGTCCCCAGCCCTGTTTTCCAGCCTCTGCCTGCATGGGAGGGGCAGTGAGTCAGCCACGTGTTTGCTTTGCCGCCTCTGCCTGTGTGCTCTCCAAGCTGCGGGTTTCACATGCAGTAAACGGCATCAAGACATTGACAGAAGGTGTATGGGCAGTCTTACACTGTCTCAGCGACTTCAGGGCCAAAACTGTCTTTTGTGATTTTGCCTCTTTTGGAAGTGGAAGCCACCTACCGAAATTGTGTTTTACCAGAGCCCCAGGAGCTCATAGTCAAGGCTTTGTGACATCAGAGTTGTTAGGAAGGTTAACCGGGCAAGATAAACGACAGACCAAAAATTGTCCCCTCAGGCCAGTGTGGAGTTTCTTTATCAGACATGTGTGCACCCCTTCCCGCCTTATCTCGGCATCTGTGAGCCTGTCATTTGAATGATGTAAAATCCATACATGTTGTACTGAGACCTTAAAAGTGATCTAGTTCAGTGTCATGTATTAAAAAATAAAGTGATCTAGAATCCAGGACAAGGTTAAAATTAATTTCATATATACACATATATATTCTTTTAAAGAAAACCTAATGTTAGCTTTCTCCACTGAGCCGTGTGAGGTGACTGTAGCCAGCCCCTCAAGCAGATTACGGTCATTTTTCGCCACATTCAAGCCCTGGATAGTTCTGTCTTTTCGTATCCAAGCGATACAAGGCAGCCTCCAAGGTACGCTCTAGCAGAAACGGTCGCTGCCATTAGAATATTTTTTCTGTATATTAAAAACAAGTCACCATTGGCCTCCCAGATAAAGAAAAGGTTTGGTAGGAATTCTGTGCCTGGTTCAAATCCTTAAAATTATAAATTGCCTAACTTTGCATATGCTGATTTTCCCAGGATTGTTTTGTGTATTAAAAGAGCTCACACGTGGGAAGGGCCGGCATTAGGGGGAGGAAGGCAGATGAGAGGAGAGGAAGCTATACCAGTAACTTTTTAAACGAATGGCAAAAAGACCTTTTCTATTTTAGATTTCTTTATTGAGTCCCTGTAATTCTGTAGTAGGTTGTAAAATAAGACACTTTTTGCTTTCCTTTTTAAGAAAAAAATCATCAGCCCGATAGATTACTTTCCCACCTGCCCAATGGACTGCACCTTGCACAGGGTCTGTTCCCAGCGGCCCCTAGAGGATGTGCCCCATTTCCCTGCGGGGCTGGTATTTGTGAATGTTTCCCTTCGGTGTGGATTTTAAGGGATGGGTCTTCCCCGCCCGCCTCCCACCGCAATTCATATTACATCCACTCTTCTTCCTTGCAGGCAAACGAGATGCTGCTCAGTGGACGGAAGCTGACAGCGCAGGAGGCGTGTGGCAAGGGCCTGGTCTCCCAGGTGTTTTGGCCCGGGACGTTCACTCAGGAAGTGATGGTTCGCATTAAGGAGCTTGCCTCGTGCAATCCAGTTGTATGTCTAATTGCTTCTGTTACACGTTACTTTTTAAAAAATAGAAACTTTTCCCTCAGAGAGCTCACAAATTTGCAATTATTCCTAAGTCCTTTACGTTTGTCCTCAACAGAGCACCTTCCCGTGAAGTCCTGCCAGAACCTATTGCCGCCACTGCCCCCACGCACGCCTTGCCTTCCCTTTGCAAATACCCAGGAACCACAGAAATGGACTTCAGTCTGAAATGTCAGCAAGTTAGCAAATGTCCTATGAAAGTCAACAACAACTAACATGGATATAATTCTTTACTGGTTCCAAAGCCTTTCAGTCACATTATTAGCTTCTCCCCTGTTTCCCCACAGTGGGCCTAAGTTGTTTTTGGGTTGTTGTTGTTTGTGAGATGGAGTCTCACTCTGTCGCTCAGGCTTGAGTGCAGTGGTGGAATCTTGGCTCACTGCAACCTCAACCTCCCGGGTTCAAGTGATGCTTGTGCTTCAGCCTCCCGAGTAGCTGGGACTACAGGCATGCGCCACCATGCCTGGGTTATTTTTGTATTTTCAGTAGACACGGAGTCTCACCACGTTGGCCAGGCTGGTCTCGAACTCCTGACCTCAAGTTGATCCACCCACCTCAGCCTCCCAAAGTGCTGGAATTACAGGCATGAGCCACTGTGCCCGGCCTCCTAAGTTTTTGTTTAATAAATGTGCTAAATAGGCCGGGCACAGTGGCTCACGCCTATAATCCCAGCACTTTGGGAGGCCGAGGAGGGCAGATCACTTGAGGTCAGGAGTTGGAGACCAGCCTGGCCAACATGGCAAAACCCCGTCTGTACTAAAAATCCAAAAGTTAGCCAGGCTTGGTGGTGCACGCCTGTAATCCCAACTACTCGAGAGGCTGAGGTGAGAGAATCGCTTGAACCCGGGAGGCGGAGATTGCAGTGAGCGGAGATCCCGCCACTGCTGTCCAGCCTGGGCAACAAAGCAAGACCCTGTGTCAAAAAAAAAACCACAAATAATTTTTTTTTAAAATATGCTTGTAACAAAATTGCATTTGGCAAATTATAGGATGTGAAATGTATAATATTAACTGACACGACTCCCATCCCAGGCAGACAAGCAACCCTCATTATGAAAATTACATTTTGTTTAGAAAAATTCCCTCAACAGGCATCCCCAGAGCTTTCTGGGCATCAGCAGAGCAGACGTCCAGTTCGGGGGTCCACGCCAGTATGCGGCAGTGGCGCGGGGCCGAGGCTGCTCACAGGCTGGGTGCCGACAGCCCAGCTCTCCTTTGAAATAAGCCGTTTTGAAGTTAAGAATGCACCCAGTGCCAAGTGTGAAATGTGCTTTATACATATGTTAGGCCCGACATATTGTGAGAAAATGTCTGGTAACCTTTTTAACAGGTGATTGCTGGAATTTGATGATTGCCTCCGTAAATGTGGAGGCACAGGGGACCCGTGTCTGCCCGCATGCACCCTGCTAACTGGCTGCTTGTTTTCCGGTGCAGGTGCTTGAGGAATCCAAAGCCCTCGTGCGCTGCAACATGAAGATGGAGCTGGAGCAGGCCAACGAGAGGGAGTGTGAGGTGCTGAAGAAAATCTGGGGCTCGGCCCAGGGGATGGACTCCATGTTAAAGTACTTGCAGAGGAAGATCGATGAGTTCTGAGTGTCGGGCTGCCCACTGGTGACACCGGGATCGGGCTGAGCAGGAGAACATCACCGGCTCCAGTTCCCCTGATCCATTCTCACAGCCTGAAACAAGCTCACCCGTAGCTTACGCTTGGAAGCAGGACTGGGAACATCCACGCTATTTATTATCGAGGAGTTTTAAAGTACTGTAACTTTAAAATAAATAACTACAAAGCTTCTTTGTCCAAACGTCATTATTTTATACTTATATACACGCAGGTGTAAAAGTATAAAGGTGAGCACTAGACTGCTCTTAGAAGCTCTAATTTTTGTTTTCTTTGGCTAGTACTGTATAAAAAACAGAATTGTGTTTTATTGGTTTTGGATGACAGAAAAGTCTGGAATAATGTTTGTTTTCCTCATTTCTTCCTTCTAGAACACAGAATCTAAAGGGGTATTAGCCAGCCTCGCCTCCCTGCCCCACGTAGAGACACAGAGTGATGTGAGGCGTTGGCTTTTTCTCCAAGAAGGTACAGATACCTCAGATTCGGGAAACTCAAAATCAAAAGACTTAGCTTCTAGGATAAATACTTCTGATGAAAAATCCGCTGAGGAGCATACCCCAAACCAGACATATGCTTAGGATTCATGCTGAGATATCAATTGGTTTCCCCTTCTTTTTAAAATACGTCCAGTTCTTACCCAGTTAACATGAAGAAACCACTGTCTCTAGAAGAAAGCTTGTTTTGCAGTATTAGTGAATCACTGAATAGCTTAAGTATGACTATCTAAGTTATAAGTTAGTCTTTAGTGGGTTTTAAATAGTTTTTCTGACCCTTCTGAAAAATAACTACATAAGTGCTTCTTGTTGCTGGGTGAGAAATACTACTTTATAGACAGTTTTGGTTTTCTGTTTGCAGATATGATTGATGTATTTCACCAAAATAAAATATTTTTATGTTTATAAAGTGTAATTTTTAGGTTCACTTAGAATATATTTTATTTAATAAGTTAAAATTCTTTTGGCACACTATTAAATGCA
The DNA here is from genome assembly GCF_000001405.40 of Homo sapiens. Taxonomy (NCBI): domain Eukaryota; kingdom Metazoa; phylum Chordata; class Mammalia; order Primates; family Hominidae; genus Homo; species Homo sapiens. The sequence goes on from NC_000006.12 coordinate 4,955,062, forward strand.
AAAACTCCTTTCAAAACAAAAAAGAACTACCTTATATTCAACATTTAATGTTCTTGGCCTCTGCTTTTATGTCTATACAATATACTGAGTTCAGTATGGTGTCCAAGAGTGCCCTGTGTGGATAGACATGTGCACTCCTTCCAGGAGTGGGTACTGATTCCAGACTCCAGATGCCTATTATTAGTTAGGCTTCTGAGCTTGCAATCATATTGAATGTATGAAGAGCGAAATCAAATTCTTATTTTTGTACAGTTTTGAAGTTTATACTTAGAACTGACCACCTCCCCGGCCACGCGGAGAGCTGTACAGTGTGTAAATCTGCCTTTATCTTGGATTGATTGGTACAGTATTTTTGCATCTGTGGGACCTACCTTTTCGTTCAGTAGTTTGAACTATATATAAACTGTACAATCTGTAAAGTTTTTATAGAATAAATATTCAGCTGTGAAAACTGGTTAAATAAAACTAATATTTCTTAACACATTTGAAATGTTTCTCTGATTCTTGTGAGATTTCTCATGGGATGTTTTCTCTTTCGTGTGTGTGTGAGATATACATGTGTGTATAAAGCATCTGTACAGTTCAATGGAATGAAACCCTGTGTGACTAACACCTAGGTAGGACCTAACAATTTGACCAGTATCCTCCCTGGTCACCTTCACCCGGGTGACCATTTCCTCACTTTGTGTCCATCATCCACTTCTCCTTCAAAGAACTTATTCCTAAAATAAATTACTTTTAGTTCTACATGTTTTTAACCTTTATATCATATCACAAATAAGCTTCTGTGACTGACTGACTTCATTCACTGTTAAGTTTTCTCTTACGTAGAGTTGTAACTTACTCCTTCTTTACCCAAACCTGTCGTGGCTGTTTTCACTCCTGTTTTACAGATGAGGAACCTGAAGAATTAAACACTTGCCCAACGTCATGTAGGTAATTTGAACAGGAGTAGCATGAAGCTTTTACCCAAGGTCGATGTGGCAAAGCACATATTCTGGCAAAGACACCAAGATGTCAGTGTTGTAGAATTCACAAATAGGGAACTGAGTAAAATCTCCAAGTTGTCTGTCTGCATCATCCGAGACTTTGAATCCTCTGGGCCTTGTGAGCCACCTCCCCTTTTTCTGAAGCAAACCTTCCACCTTCCAACTTCTTGCACAAGAATTGATCCCAACTAGAAGTAGCACTGGCGACAGCAGTGAAGTGCTTCTGTTTTGTGCCCTGCGTGGGTGAGGAGGAAGGGAAATGCGACTGCTCAGGTGGGTGAAAGTCTCGGTCCAACTTTTGAAGAGAATTTGACAGTAACTGTCAAATATAAAAAGCCTGGACCCAGCAACTCCATCAATAAGGATTCATCTTAAGGAATGAGTGGTCATAGGAAATACAACAATAAAGATAGGTACGCAGTTAAGTTCATCTCAGGATTGTTCCTGACAGTGAAGCATTGGAAACTGCATTCATGTTCCTCAGTAGGGTTTTGGTTAAATAATTGTGCAACACCATCACAGTGGAATACACATTTATTGAAAAAGAATGTTGATGAAATCTTAGGTTTAAAGAAAATTGTATGCTTTAAAAAACTTTAAAGGATATGCATGAAAAACATCTTGTATATATCCAGTTCTCTCCCCTAGAGCTTCCCAGCTCCTGGGCTTAAGACTGCTCAGCCCCTCAAAGCCAAAGTCGGGAGCCTGTTACCCCTGAGAGCCAGAGACAGGCACAACAGCCAGGCAGCCTTGCTTCCTCGACCATGAGGGTAACAGTGATGATGGCACTTAACACTGCAGCATAAACCAGGCTCGCTTCGAAACACTTGATGTCCGTTTGCTCATTCAGTTTTTTGAGATTATTTTGCAGAGAATATTAATGTAATACACATTAATATGCTTTTCCCAGATCCACTCACTGAGCCCATCTGGTGGCCTGTCTGTACTGACCTCTCCTGTAACCAACTTTCCCCAGCTGGTGGCCTTCCTGTCCTAGCATCACTCTATAAAATGAGAGGTCTCAAATAGTCTTTAGGCAGGCTGATTTAGTTTGTGATGTCCCCAGCAATACTAGTGACAGCTACAGAAAATGAGAAGAACCCAGAACTCTGACGATCTTGGAGGGAAAAGTGTGCCAACTACGTAAACGGGACTGTAGATGGCCTCAGACGGGCTGCTCCCATTCTCTCGCCCCATATTTGGTCAAGAGGGAGTGAGGGGTGCCCCCAGTCTCTGGGCACAGCAGGAGCCTAGGGGGCTAGGGCCAGCCTCATGGCCAACTCCCTCTCATTGGGCTCCTCAGAGGCTCCAACCCACTGGTACACTTCTTCTTACACTAGTATGAACAAGCGTTACAGCTTCTCCAAAAGAAAATCAAGTTCTCTCCCCTAGAGGTAAATATAAATATTTATAAATATTCTAAAAGAAGAAAATATATTTTCTGTGTGTTGCAAGAGAATTGGCACCTGCCAAATAGTGACACACAGCTTAAGAGGGAAAAACCCTGGGGACACAGGATTCTGTCATTGCCCTAGGGAAACTCAGTCTCTGCTTTTCCCAGGTCCGCTCACTGAGCCATCTGGTGGCCTCTCTGTGCTGACCTCTCCTGTAACCAACTTTCCCCAGTGCATGGCCTTCCTGTCCTAGCATGCAGACAGGAGCTTTCTGAGGCTTTTCCGACAACAGCCCCAGGTTCGTGCCCCACCAAGTGTGAGAAGCTGTTTCTAAGCCGAAACTTTTCAAATGGACTCCAGGACATGCCAGGGAGTCCCGCCCTCTAGAGGAAGGGAGAGACTCGGGCAGGTGAAAGCACAGATAACTGGGAATATGAGACCCTGGAGTACAGCCCAGAACTAAGGAGGAGAGGAGATCTCCGATGTTTCGTGCACCAGTTTAACTTTACATGTGAAGAAACTGAGGCCCAGAAGGGTCAGGCCACTTGCCCACCATCACACAGCCTGTTGGTGACCTAGCACCTGGGAAGAGAGGGCTACACTCCACTGCTCTATGCACTCTTCCCTTAAGTGGGAAGGCAAGGAGGGGACCAATGGCCTGTGGTGTCCAGCCCATCCTGGCATCCCATGGGCCTGTGATTCTCTGCAAGTGAGAGTGGTGGGGCAGCATGGCAGAACGGGTGGTTCCAGCCTGCCCAGTGGCTCTGGATTTAGGCTATTTTCAAGTCAACGCTAAACTTACCAGGGAATTCTGATGGTCTACAAGCTTTCTGCATCTGTAAGAGCTGGACCAGCCCACCGAGCTCTCTCAATACTAACTAGCATTTAAAAATAAATACCTTCACTATTTGGCAACAGGGGAATCCTCTCCTATCACAGGAATCCTCTCCCTCTTCCCTAGGGAACGTTCTGACAGCATGTCTGTCTGAAGAAGCAAACGAATGTCTGCTTTGGTGAAAATGACATTGAATGATTTCAACCCTGGTTTAAAACTTACTTTTTTGGCAAGATAAGAGACTAGCATTTCAAAATTTAAAATCTGTTTTATGACCTTTAGAGTCACAAGCACTTAAATGGCTAATAAATGGTTTAATACAGGTATTAGAATAAAAGCTAAGATCTAATGTATTTAACATTAATTCTTATTTTCTTAAATTTTATATACTAAAACTGGGTAAATTATATACATATATATGTCTATCACCTGTATGAAACACACTGCATAGGACAACTAGACAGAGGATCAACAAGGAAATAGAAGACTGGAACAACATTTTAAACCACCTAGACGTAACACACCTATACAACCCTTCATCCAATAACAGCAGAGGGCATATGCTTCTCAAGTGCACCTGGGACATTCTCGAGGATAGACCATATGTTAGGCAATAAAACAAGTCTTAAAAGTTTAAAATGATTAAAATCATACAAAGTATGTCCTCCAGCCTCAATGGAATGCAATGAGATATCAATAACAAAGAAATGTGGAGAATTCAAAAATATGCGGAAATTAAACCACATTCCTAAATAACAAATGGGTCAAACAAGAAACCACAAGAGAAATTAGAAAATACTTTGAGATGAATGAAGATGAAGACACAACATAACCAAATTTATGTAATAAATTATATAATAAAACATCTATATGAGAAAAGTAGATGCCAAATCAATAACCTAATCTTCTACCTTAAGAAACTAGAAATAAAGAACCGCAAACTAAACCCATAGCAAGTAGAAGGAAAGAAATGAAGATTAGGGCAGGAGTAAGTAAAATGAAGTACAGAAAAACAGTAGAGAAAAATCTATGAAACCTAAAGTCATTTCTTTGAAAAGATCAACAAAATTGACAAATTTTAGTTAGACTGACCAAGGACATAAGAGACTATTCAAATCACCGAAATCAGAAATGAAAAGGGGGGACACTACTACCAACCTTAGAGAAATAAAAAGAACTATAAGAGAGTGCTGAGGAATCGTATCCCAACAAATTAGATTAGCTAAATGAAATGGACAAATTCCTAGAAAGACACAAACTTGAAATTGACTCAAGAAGAAAGAAAAAACTAAAATAGACAAAAAGATTGAATCTGCTGTCAAAAAACTTTCTACGAAGAAAAGCCCAGCACTAGATGGCTTCACTCATAAATTCTGTCAAATGTTTAAAAAGGAATCAATGCCAATCCTTCACAAACTCTTCCACAAAATAAGAGGAGTGAATGCTTCCTTACCTCTATAAGGCTAGTGTTGCCCTAATACCAAAACCAGACAAAGACATCACAAGGAAACTATAGACCATATAGACTATATATTTATGTTAACATTCCTTATTAATACAAATGCAGATATTCTCAATGAAGTAATCTGACAACATATAAAACTTATATGTACACCATTACCAAGTAGGTTGTGGTGAACTGCAAATGTGCCACTGCACTCTAGCCTGGGTGACAGGGCAAGACCCTGTCACAAAAAAAAAAAAAAAAAAAAAAAGATGCTCAATGTCAGCCACTATGGAAATGCAAATCAAACTACAGTAAGACATCACTTTATCCCACTAGAATGACTATAACAAGAAAATACCAAAAACTGAACTAATACGTTCAGTTATAATAACAATAACAAATGTTGATGAACATGTGAAAAAATTGAAATCCTCACACATTTGCTGGTGAAAATGTCAACTGGTACAGCCACAGTAGAAAACTGCTTGATAGTTCCTCAAACTGGCATAAGGATGAAGTTAAACTTCTTAAGGAACTCTTAAGCCTTGCAATTCTACGTCTAGTATATATCCAAGAGAATTAAAGATAGGTACTCAAATACTTGTATGTGAATGTTCATAGCAGCATTATTCATAATAGCCACCAAATATTCACCAACTGGAGAAAGGATAAACAATGAATTGGCATATCCAATGGAATGTTATCTGGCAATACAGATGAATGAATGAGGTATTGATACATGCTACAGTGTGGTTGAACCTTGAAAACATTACGCTAAGTGAAAGAAGCCAGATGCAAAAGGCCACATATTGTATGATTCCATTTATATAAAATGCCAAGGATTGGTAAATCCATAGAAACAGAAAATAGATTCGTGGTTTCCAGGGACAGGGGGTGACATGGGGCAACCGGAGTGGGGAGCGGCAGGTACAGGTTTTTATTTGGGGGGTATGAAAATGTTCTGGAATTAAATAATGGTAATGTTCACACAACCTTGTAAATATCCTTTAAAAATTGAATTGTTTGCCTCTTAAAATGGTTAATTTTATGTTGTTTCAATTATGTCTCAATTTTTTGAACGTGTGTGTATATTATATATATAATCCTCTAAACTAACATAAGGAGACTATGGAAAAATACTTAACTGATCCGAAATGTGCAAGAAAGATGTGAAAAAGCAACATAGACTGGCAGGACAAATAATAGCACATAGAAAATATGGTATATTTTATCTCAAAATATTAACAAACACATTAAATAAAAATAGACTAAATTCTTGTGTGAAAGCTAAATATTTTCAGGCTGTATTCAAAATATATTGACCTAGATATACATATATGCTGTTGACAAGAAAAGAAAACGCATCGGAAACTGAAAAGTTGAACGTAAAAAGGTAGAAAATATATACTGTGCAAACAATAACCAAACAAAAACTGGTGTAGCTATGCTAATATCAAAATATCTATTAAAGCAAAAAGCATGGTAGGAAAAAGTTTTTCATAATGACAGCAGACTAAGTTCTATTGAAAGATATATAGTTCTAAATTTGCGTGTACCTTGTTACTTATCCTCAGAGAAGAAGAAGAAAAGGAAGAACAAGAAGGGAGGAGAAGGAGGAGAAGGAGAAGGAGGAGGAGGAGGAGAAGGAGGAGAAGGAGGAGAAGGAGAAGGAGGAGGAGAGAAGGAGAAGGAAGTGCGTTCAGCAGCTTCTAAACTGGCTCCCAGTGATCCCGACCTCTTGCTCTTCACATCTGTGTATGATGTACGGCTAGACCTGGTGACTCGCTTCTAACAAACAGAACATGGCAAAAGCAGTCACTTCTGAAATCTGGCTGTAAAAGACTGTGACTTGTGGCTGGTGCACACATGTTCTCTTTTTGCCTCCTCTGGCTGGCTTACTATGGGAGAGTCCAGCTGCCATGCTGGGAAGTACCCATAGGACAGGCCCATGAGCCAAGGGACCGAGGGCGACCTCCCACCAACATCAAGTGAGGAGCTGAGTCCTGCCAGTGCCCACAGGAGCGGGCTTGAGAGAGAATCCTTTCCCAGTCCAGCCTGGTTCACCCTTTAAACCGCAGCCCTGGAGAGACCTCTAGACAGAGGATCTGGCTAAGCTACATCTGGATTTTTTGTTCCAGAAAGTGTGAGTTTGGGGGTAATTTGCTATTCAACAGTAGACGACTAATACAACCAGGGTGGTCATTCTCACAGCTCACTTTTGATAAATATACAGATAGATAGATAGATAGATAGATAGATAGATAGATAGATAGATAGAGATAAATACAAACAGACATTGATATAGATGGGGTCTCAGACAAAATTTTCATCTTCACGTCCTGTAACAGCTTGCTAAAATAGTCTATTCTCTGCATTTAAATGTCCCTTTATGTGGGATTGGATGTACAAATGATCTTATGCCCATACTGTGCAACTCTTTAAGAGAACATGTAGCAATGATGGTGATGAATATTTATTACTGTCTTAGATGAGAATTACAATCAGCCCTATTTTTCAAATGAGAACTCTGAGACCAAAAGAGGTTATATAATTTACGTAAGGTCACCCCCCCCAGTAAGGGCTGGAACAGAGATTTCATAGCAACCAAACCACACCCAAGAACAGCATTCTCTCCTTTTTCATCCTTTGCGCTCTATAGACCCCAGGGTAATGGTGTGTCGTGGGCTCTTGGCCTTTCTCTGTCTTTCTTTCTTTTTTTTTTTTTTTTTTTGAGACAGAGTCTCGCTCTGTCACCCAGGCTGGAGTGCAGTGGCGCGATCTCGGCTCACTACAAGCTCTGCCTCCCGGGTTCATGCCATTCTCCTGCCTCAGCCTCCTGAGCAGTTAGGACTACAGGCGCCCACCACCACGCCCAGCTAATTTTTTGTATTTTTAGTAGAGACGGGGTTTCACCGTGTTAGCCAGGATGGTCTCGATCTCCTGATCTCGTGATCCACCCGCCTCGGCCTCCCAAAGTGCTGGGATTACAGGCATGAGCCACCACGCCCAGCCTGGGCTTTCTCTTTCTATGACAATAAGTAAATGTGACATTTCTTGCCCCTTGAATTTTAGAAGCAATTTGTAGACTTGTCATATGTATGTTATTATAGGTATTTTTGCTAGCCACGCTGTCACTGTCAAGCTCCTGGGTGAAATAAAATTAGGTAAGTTTTTAGACAAAGCCTTGGTATATAAACTTTTGCTACTCACTGTCTTCAACTCAGGAATGCAATTCATTTGGAATGTGTGCCATCACTCCTGATGCAAGCTTGGTGCCTGACACTCATTATCCCCAGCAGGAACTTCTTGGTGATTTCCACGGTGAGGGACAGTCATGTCAGCACAGAAAAGACACCAAACTTTCGGTTTGATCATCACTAATTACCTCTAGTGGGTGTGATTATGAGAAACTTTTACTTTTCAAATAAATTGGGGAAATGTTTTCATTGTTACAAGCATGTTTACATGACTAATTCTTACAAAATATACCTATAGATAGATGCTTCTTGTCCCTGTCTCAAGCTTCCCCAAGGGGGTTTTGCCTGAATATATGGAAACTGATGCCCTAGGAGATGTGAACATCAGCTCTGTTTCCCTTCTTCCTATTTAAAGATCTGGGCTGGGCACGGTGGCTCATGCCTGTAATCCCAGCACTTTGGGAAGCCAAGGCAGGAGGATCACTTGAGGCCAAGAGTTCAAGAGCAGTCTGGGCAACAGAGTAAGACCCCCATCTCTACCAAAAATAAAAAATAGAAATAAATTAGCCAGACGTGGTGGTGCATGCCTGTAGTTCCAGCTACTCAGGAGGCCGAGGTGGGTAGATTGCTTGAGTCTGGGAGGTCAAGGCTGCAGTGAGCTGTGATCACACCACTGCAATTCAGCCTGGGCGACAGAGCGAGACCGTGCCCACCCCACCAAAAAAAGATCTGAGTTCACCCGAGGGAGGCCTCTGGCTTGCTGGCTGGACGTTCCCCGTTTTAGAGGTGTCCACCCACATGTCACAAGAGCTTTTTAGGTTTTACTATGAAGCAGCAAACAGTTTCCTCCCCAGGCCCTCGGTCACTCAGGGTCCATAGCCGGGTGTTTCCTTTTTTTTTTTTTTTTGAGATGGAGTCTCGCTCTGTTGCCCCGGCTGCAGTGCAGTGGCATGATCTCAGCTCACTGCAAGCTCCGCCTCCCGGTTTCACGCCATTCTCCTGTCTCAGCCTCCCCAGAAGCTGGGACTACAGGCGCCCACCACCACACCTGGCTCATTTTTTGTATTTTTAGTAGAGACGGGGTTTCACCATGTTAGCCAGGATGGTCTCGAACTCCTGACCTTGTGATCCGCCCGCCTCGGCCTCCCAGAGTGCTGGGATTACAGGCGTGAGCCACCGCGCCCCATTGCCAGGTGTTTCTAAGAGTGGGGGGTGGGAACCTTTCCAACGTTTTGCTTTGGGGCTCAGCTTTACTGCTCTTCTCTCTTCTTCCTCTGGAGCTGGCGCTCAGAGCTGGTGAGAGCCCTGTGCTGATGAGGTGTGGTCCTAGTTTGAGGAACCATCGCACCCCAGCAGCCCCGATTCCCACCGAAGACCTTGGTTGGCCACCAGCAGCAACGATTGATCAGCAGAGAGCCCATGAGAGGCAGAATGAACGCACCAGGACCAGTGGGCCTCCTGGAGAAGGCTGCTCAGGTCAGCAGTCGGCTACTGTCGTTTGGTAAAAGGAAAGATAATCTGTTGATTTTTATGCCTTGCTGTAAATGTTTGCTGGTAGCAATCTGTTAGTGTGACAGTCACCACTGTTTTTTATTTTTCTGTATCACTAGAGATGTTCTCTGGAGCTTTAAAGCCTCCTGCAGTGAGAAACTATTACATAAACACACTGTTTGGAGAGGAGAAAATTCCCTATAATTCTTGTTCTCTAGAGGTGTGTGGTGATCATCAGAACCACAATCCTCAGCTCCGTCCTGGGGGCCCCAAATACGGTTCATTCCCTTGGTGTGTTAACCCCCGAACCCCTCATTCTCCGTTTTTAATTTTCCCCTGAAGAAGGAAAGAAGACATTCCCAATGCCTGTGAGGACAGGGCTCCTGGGGTGAGCCTGCCGATTGTGAAGTTTAAGCCACAAGCTCAGTGATCGTCGGGGTTGTAAGGGTGGTGAGGATGAGACAGATGCAGATTCAAGAGTCTGCCCTGCTCTGTGCACCTGGCAGTTCTCTCCTTGGCTCGGGCCTTCCCAGATCCTGGAATACTGAACTTTAAGTGGTATCACAGTCACACTGCAGCCACAGAGTCAGGCCGTCTCAGTGTTGGTTTGTCTGTCTTGTGACAAGGGCACAAAAGATCCATGACTCCTGCAAGCGGGGAGGTTTGCCGAGAGAGAGGTGCGCACTGCACGATTAAAGTGTAACCTGAACCACTGCCCTGCAGACTGTGTCAGAGCTCGCGTGTGTGTGCCTGTGGGGGTGTGTGTGTAGGTGCGCACGTGGAGTGTATGTGTGTGAGCACATGCATGTGTGCTGGGGGGATGTTAACAGCTTCACTGAGGGGTAATTGACATACGATCACACTGTGTTCAAAGTGTAGAATCTGACAAGTGTTGACGTATGTATACACCCATGAAACCAACACTATACAGTGAACACGTCCATCCCCCCCAGAGATTTTCCTGTGCTTCTTTGTGATCCCTCCCTCCTGCCCCTCCCACTCTGCCCCACCCCAGGCAATCACTGATCTGCTTTCTGCCACAATACGAAGATTTGCAAACCGCTTATAATAACCATTTCTGAGCCCAGCAGGCAAATACTTTCTTTTTGGCGGGTGGGCCTTTCATTGATTGTTTAAACTTCTCAATTCAGAGAGAGAGGGGGAGAAAAGAGGACAGGAAAGACTGGTGTGGGCCCCTTCTGCGAGGCCTGGCCTTAACCACAACCCCAGCCTGGCTCAAGTGCCCTGGAGCCTCTGCCCACAGGACAGCCCTGACTTCCCCTCTCCAAGCTTTGCAGGGCCCTCATTACCTTTCCTGGTCAGGCTCTGTACAATCTGGGACTCTTAGCCAGTCCTGACACCAAAACAACAAAAACCAGAGACAGGGGGATTGGAGCCAATCCCTGCAACCTCTCTCTCATTCCTGCAGTGCTGACCTGCTAAACCAGGTACTTCCCTCTCTTTCCTTTCTTAGGGCTTTGCTCCTGGCGCTCTGCTCCTCTTCATTCTGGATCTCTCCTTTACTTGCTTCTCTCCCACCTTCTGCCACCCCTGCAGCCCATGGCAATGCAAACAGACTCATGTGTGTCCTCAGTCTGTTTGCAGAACCATAGCCCTGGCCTGGCTCTGCTCAAGGGCACCCTCCCTCCATTCGCCAAGTCCCGCACCTGCGGGATGCAGGTGGGGCTGGGAATGGGCACTCCCCTGACCCCACTCCAGCATCAATCCAATCCCCCTCCGATGCAGGAAGGTTCCAGATGTTGGGGAGCCATGGAAATTGTTCAGTGTACATATGGTGTTCTGGCTTGGGCAAATCATGATGAAGACAATTTTCCCACAAAATAGGAGGGAACATCCGTGATGGTGCCTGGTTCATTTCCTGGCACATGTAGGCATCAGAACACTGAAGGGCTTATACCAGAGATTTATTGGGGTTGTGGAAAAAACAAAAATCGGAAGAGTAGAGTTTAGTAGGCAGATGTAGATTTTAAAAGCTCGGTAAGAGGTACATAAACATTTCTTCAACAGGACACAAAAATCACTAACCCAAAAGAAAAAGATTGGTACATTAGGTGATAGTAAAATTAAGAATTTCTTTTCATCAGTGAGAGAGTAAAAAGGAATATACAGTAGCTAAAAGACCCATATCTGGAATATATAAAGAATTTCTACAAACTAGCAAGAAAACGTTGATGATTCAATAGAAAAAAAAAGAGCCAAAGAAATAAACAGCTAGAAATGGATGGCAGCAATGGTGGTACATCAACGTGAATGTAGCTAATGTCGCCGAGCTGCACAACTGGTAAAAATGGGAGCTGGGTACAGTGGCTCATGCCTGCAATCCGAGCTACTCAGGTGGCTGAGGCAGGAGGATCACTTGAGCCCAGGAGTTCAAAGACAGCCTGGGCAACATAGCAAGACCCCCATCTCAAAAGAAAAAAAGTAAAAATGGTAAATTTTATGTTCATATATATATATAATCAGAGTTAAAAATAATAAAATAATTTAATTAATTGTAAAAAGAAATTAACAGCTGCTTCACAAAAGAAAGAAAAAATAAAAGCAGGAAGGAAAGGGAAGGGAAGGAAGAAAGAAACAAAAAAATGATGTAATTGGCCAAGAAAAAATTAAAAATGCTCAACCTCATAAGGCATCAAGCACATTAAAACCACAGTGAGAAACCAATACTCACCTACCAGAATGTCTAAAACTATAAGGATTGTTAATACTAAGTGCTGGGAGAAATATGAGGTAACTGAAATGCTCATACACTGCTAGTGAGAATGTAAAATAGCACAACCACTTGGGAAAACTCTTTGGCAGTATCTACTAACACCAGCATATTCCACTACCCAGAAATGCCACTCCTAGGCATAGCCCCAAAAGAAATGTGAAAACATGTTCACCAGTGATGTGCAAATGTCCATCAACAGGAGAATGGCTGGCCAGGTGCTGTGGCTCACGCCTGTAATCCCAGCACTGCGGGAGGCCAATCATTTGAGCCTAGGAGTTCAAGACCAGTCTGGGCAACATAGTAAGATCCCCATCTCTACAAAAAATTTTAAAAATTAGCTGGGTGTGGTGGTGCACACCTGTGGTCCTAGCTACTTGAGAAGCTGTGGCAGGAGAATCACTTGAGCCCAGGAGTCAGAGGCTGCAGTGCATCGTGATTCACCTCTGCACTCCAGCCTGGGTGACAGAGCAAGCCCCTGTCTCTAAAAAAAAATAACAATAATAAGTTAATTTAAAAAAAAACCAGGAGAATGCCTAAATACATTGTAATATACTTATAAATGAATTCTTATGGTAATGAAAGTGTATTAGCAACTGCTAAACCCAGCTGATGAATCTCACCAACATGCTGAACAAAAGAAGCCAGATACAGAGGAATTTATACCACATGATTACATCAGACAAGGTTAAAACCCAGGCCAAACTATGGCGTTAAGAGTCAGTGAGCTGCTTAGTGCTTCAGGGAATGGTGCTTGCAGGGAGGGAGGCTCTGGTAATATTCTCTTTCTTGATTTGGGTCTGGTGTCCCAGGTATGCCTACTTTGTGACAATTCATCAAGGTGTACTCGGGGTTGGTAGCTTTTCTGTATATGTATTACACTTCTCTCTCTCTCTCTCTCTCTCTCTCTCTCTCTCTATATATATATATATATATATATTTTTTTTTTTTTTTTTTTTTGGATACAGGGTCTCACTCTGTCACCCAGGCTGGAGTGCAGTGTTGAGATCTAGGCACACTGAAACCTCCGCCTCCCAGGTTCAAGTGATCCTCGTGCCTCAGCCTCCTGAGTAGCTGGGATTACAGGCACGCGCCACCATACCCAGATAATTTTTGTATTTTTAGTAGAGATGGGATTTCACCATGTTGGCCAGGGTGGTCTCAATCTCCTGACCTCATGATCTGCCCACCTCAGCCTCCCAAAGTGCTGGGATTACAGGCATGAGCCACTGCGCCCGGCCTTAAGTTTATTTTTAAAAGCTCCTACTGATTGAAGCATAATTGATTGATTGGTTGGCAGAGTCTCTCTCTGCTGCTCAGGCTAGAGTGCAGTGGTGTCATCTCGGTTCACTGCAACCTCTGCCTCCCAGGTTCAAGCGATTCTCGTGCCTCAGCCTCCCGAGTAGCTGGGACTACAGGTATGCACCACCATGCCTGGCTAATTTTTGTATTTTTTGTAGAGATAGAGTTTCACCATGTTGCCCAGGCTGATCTCAAACTCCTGAGTTCAAATGATCTGCCTGCTTCAACCTGCCAAAGTGCTGGGATTATAGGCGTCAGCTACTACACCCAGCCTGAAGCATTATATTGTATTTAAAACAAACTCTTCTGGCTGGGCCTGGTGGCTCATGCCTATAATCCCAGCCCTATGGGAGGCTGAGGCAGGTGGAACACTTGAGGTCAGGAGTTTGAGACCAGTCTGGCCAACATGGCAAAATCCCGTCTCTACTAAAAATACAAAAATTACCCAGGTGTGGTGGAGAACACTTGTAATCCCAGCCCTATGGGAGGCTGAGCCAGGTGGATTGCTTGAACTTGGGAGATGGAGGTTGCAGGGAGCCAAGATCATGCCACTGCACTCCAACCTGGGCAACAGAGCAGGACTGTACCTCAAAAACAAAAACAAAAACCTCTTCTCATTGTCATCCTCACGTGTTCTTTTTGCCCCATATAAAATAATCAAAAGCAGGATAGCTCTCAGCAGACTAATTTCCATGTAATGATATGTACATCTCAACAATGCATGCATTCTTTGATTATAAAAGAATAAGCATTATTGATTCTGGAATTGATTGATAAAAGGAAGGGTAGGTCTTCAAACCAACAAATTGGCCAATGGATAAAAGTGCAAACTGCCAAGCGGAGAAAGGTGGGCACCAGCCATATTTTCTTTTGAATCTTTACTTTGATTTATGGAATGAGGGTGTTCTTTCCCTTAAAGAGATGTGCAGCTCCGTAGAGCAGATAGGAAAGATATTTTCCATGTGTAGGCAGGTTCCTTTCCTACAGAACTTGTGTAGGCAGGTTCCTTTCCTACAGAATCCCATGTGGACCCACTCTTACCTAAGGCCAGTCCTGGGCATAGGGCAGGAGCTAAAGCCAGGAAGCTGGTGTCTTGCCTTTGCCAGACCAGGTGGCCTGTGAGAGGTTCCATTCGATTCTGTTCAGTTCTTCATGGCAACAACTCCTTATCATGTTACTTATGCTGAGCCTTGGGGATCCAAAAATAAATTAGATGTGGCTCCTGTTCTCAAGGGCAGTGTCTTAGTCTGTTTGGGTTGCTGTAACAGAATACCATAAATTGAGTGGCTTATTAACAGCAGAAATGTACTATTCACACACACACTCTGGTGGCTGAAAGTGCAAGATCAAGGCGCTGGTGGATGTGGTGTCTGGTGAGGGCCGACTTTCTCTTTCATAGATGGCACCTTCTCACTGTGTCCTCGAATGGCGAAGGGGCACAGGAGCTCCCTGGAGCCTCTTTTATAAGGGCATTAATCCCATTCATGAGGTGTCCACACTCATGACCTAAACACCTCTCAAAGACCCCACCTCCTAATACTATCACATGGATGATTAGGTTTCAACACATGAGTTTCGGTGGGGGACCACATACATTCAGACCATAGCAGGCAGTACAAAGGAGGAGGAGATTAGAAGATGAGGTCATGATACAAAGGATGAATAATGCTATAATAGACTATGACCCTGGACAAGTGGCTTAACTTCTCTGCGCCTCAGTATCCTCATCTGTGAACTGAGGATAAGGTAGTACCTCCTCCACAGGGTTGTTTTAAGGGTCAAATGAGATTAAACACGTGCCCAACACGACCATTGCTCAGTACATGATTTTGCTGTATAAACTGTACTGATGATGGCAAGACCCTGGTGATGATGATGATGATGATGAGGGCACCCTAGATGTGTTGGAACTATCAAGAAGGGGCACTCAACACAGCCCGGGAATTCAGGGGTGCCTTCTTGGAGGAGGTCATGCCCAAGCTGAGTCTTAGAGGATAAACAGTTTGAGAGAGGATATGGTAAAAAAAAAAAGAAAAAGAAAAAGAAAAACGAGAATGTGTTGCAGACCAGGCACAGTCCAAGAACGTCCCAGAGCCTTGAGACAGCGTAGCCCTCCAGGAGCCGGGCTGTGGGGCACGGAGTGGTGGGGCACTGGAGGGGGGCCTTGTCTACCAGATTGATGAGCTGCAATCTCGTCCTGTGACAGGGAATCACTGAAGGGATTTTGTTAAATGCCTTTGAAGTAAAATCATCAGGACGCGGTGTTTGATTGGTTACGGTTGAAGGAAAGAGGAGCCAGTGACACTGGAAACAAGAAGAAATTGGGTATGGCAGAAGAGGGCCACTCATTCTGTTTTGACCTGGCTGACTTGGAGATCTTGGCCTCTCCAAGATCTTGGATTCGACTTGGCCTGTGGAGCTGTCTTAAGCGAATGTCTGGCAAGCAGTTGGCACACCCAGCTGAGGCTCGGGAAGGGTGTGTGAGTGATGCCAGGACTGTGAGAGAGGAATGCCAGGCACAGCGAGGAGGGGTCATCTCAGAGCAGCAGCACCCAGGGGGCAAGCAGAGGGAAAGGGGAGGACAAGGAGGACAAGGACCAGAAGGAGCCTGGTATTTGTTTGTTTGTGTGCTGCCATAACAAAGTATCACAGACCGGGGGCTTCAACAACAGACATTTTCTCTCACAGTTCTGGAGGCTGGGAGTCCAAGATCAAAGGGTGGGCAGGGCTGGTTCCTCCCGAAGCCTCTCTGTTGGCTCACAGATGGCCACCTTCCTGCTGTGTCCTCACACACTCACTCGGGATGTGCTTCGGGGAATGGTGCTTGTAGGGAGGGAGGCTCTGGTAATATTCTCTTTCTTGATTCGGGTCTGGTGTCCCAGGTGTGCCTACTTTGTGACAATTCATCAAGGTGTACTCAGGGTTGGTAGTTTTTCTGTATATATATTACACTTCTCTCTCTGTCTCTCTCTCTCTCCCTATATATATATATGTATATATATATATTTTGAGACAGAGTCTCACTCTGTCACTCAGGCTGGAATGCAGTGGTGCAATCTAGGCACACTGAAACCTCCACCTCCCGGGTTCAAGTGATTCTCATGCCTCAGCCTCCTGAGTAGCTGGGATTACAGGCACGCGCCAGCACACCCAGCTAATTTTTGTATTTTTAGTAGAGATGGGGTTTCGCCATGTTGGCCAGGATGGTCTCAATCTCCTGTGTGTTGTCTATGTCCAAATTTCCTCTTCTTATGAGGACACCAATTCTACTGGATTAGGGGCCACTCTGATAGCCTCACCCTAACTTAATCACCTCTGTAAGGAGCCTATCTCCAAATACAGTCACATTCTGAGACGCTAGAGGTTAGGACTTCAACAGTGAATTTTGGGGGGACATAATTCAGCCTATAACAGGCCTGCTGGACTTGGCATTGGGAAGTCATTGATGGGCTCGATACAAACAAGGGGAGAGAAGAGGAAAGGAGCCGGCTGCAGGCCTGGAGGGAGTGAAAGGAGCCGGCTGCAGGCCTGGAGGGAGTGAAAGGAGCCAGCTGCAGGCCTGGAGGGAGTGGGGGGGACATGGGGCAGCCCAGGAGCTGACCGTGGGCAGGAGCTGGATGGAGAAGGAGTCTCCAGGCTCAGGAGGGACTTGAGCAGGGCACAGGCTGAGGGAAGCGTGGAATGAGGGAGGGAAGGGATGAAAGGTAGGGTCACAGAGCCACTGGCCGAGCATGCGTGTCCACCTGGGGTCCAGGTTGGCCCACATCAAGCACACTGAGTTAAATCTCCAGGAGAGCATGGAGCCTGCCCAGAGACTGTGTCAAACCCTGATGCATCCTGACTGTCACTCCCTCAGGAATAGTGACCAAGGGAAGAACTGTTCACCCTGGAACACCAGAGCTTGTGTCACTGTGGCTTCATGGAACAGAAATGTCAAATCTGTGGATTCAGCTGATAATTCTCTCGTTAGCCACAAGATATTTTCTAAATTAAAAAAACAATTTTTTGCACTTACGTGAGGTTCCTAGAGTAGTGAATTTCACAGAGACAAACGGGGGTTGCCAGGGGACGGGGAGAGGAGGAGTGAGAAGTGAGTGTTTAATGGGACAGAATTTCAGTTTGGGACGATGGAAAGGACCTGGAGATGGATAGTGGCGACGGCTGCACAGCAGTGTGAAGGCACTTAACACTGTTGAAATGCACACTGAAAAATGGTTAAGATGGTACACGGTGGGAGGCCAAGGTGGGTGGATTGCTTGAGCCCAGGAGTTCAAGCCAGCCTGGGCAACATGCTGAAACCCCGTATCTACTAAAAACACAAAACATTTTTGGGCATGGTGGCGTGCACCTGTAGTCCCAGCTACTCAGGAAACGGAGGTGGAAGGATTGCTTGAGCTGAGATAGTGCCACTGCACTTCAGCTGGGCCAACAGAGGAAGACTTTCTCAAAAAAATAAAAATAAATATAGTTAAGATGGTACATTTTCCGCTGTATTTTACCACAATTTAAATAAATAAATTGTTAGGCCAGGTGTGGTGGCTCATGCCTGTAATCCCAGCACTCTGGGAGGCCGAGGTGGGTGGATCACTTGAGGTCAGGAGTTCAAGACCAGCCTGGCCAACACAGTGAAACCCCGTCTCTACTAAAAATACAAAAAGTTAGCTGGATGTGGTGATGCACACCTATAATCCCAGCTACTCGGAGGCTGAGGCAGGAGAATTGCTTGAACCCGGGAGGTGGAGGTTGCAGAGAGCTGAGATCACACCACTGCACTCCAGCCTGGGTGACAGAGCGAGACTCTGTCTCAAATAAATAAATAATGGGTAAATAAATTGTTTTAAAGAAAGATTTCTATGGAGTTAGTTTTCCCCCTTGACATGCATTTTTTGAATATTTGAGACAAAATATCCCTAATGGTCTTGATCAGCAAAGCTGTTTTTTAAAAAGTGTCAGAAGAGTTGCTCGGAACAGTCCATGAAGTACAAATAACTTGACCTTTCCAACGGGCGAAAAGAGAGTTAGGAAGTTGGTACTCAGTGAGGCGATCTTGTCAACAAACAGTTCGACTGAACTGACATTGACTGGGCACCCACTGTGCGCCAGGCGTGGTAGGGAGGGAGATTTGTCTGTCTGATGACTTGGTTGTTTCTCGTGCTCTGCTTTTTGATGATCGGCATCTTGCTTTCGAGGTGGATAGCCGAGTGTCGAGCAGTGCTGTGATGTGGGGTGCTCCCTGCTCTCCCATTTCTATGGCCTGGTCTTTTCCCAGAAGCAGCTGGGATGCTCCATCTTGCCCTCCCTTCGGTCCCTTTGTGTCTTGGGTGTCCTTCCAAAGTGGGGAGGCAGATCCGAGTCCTTCCCATGTCCTCACCTCAGAGGCCCAAGTGCCTTCCAAGTGTGAAGACTTAAAAAAAAAAACAAACCTACCATGGAGGGTGGTGGGGGAGGATTGGAATTCCAGAAAATTCTGAATGAAAACAGCAGTTGCAAAACGGAATGGCTTTGCAAACTGCAGCCGATTATTCAGTGACTGTCTTGGGCTTTGGCCGGACCACTCGAAAATCTGCCGCTGAAGGATCCAGGGAGAGTGGCAGAAAGCACAGGGAAGCTGGAACCGAGGGGCTGGACCCAGCTCTCCAGGAGGCCCCAGCTCCCAGCCCACCAGCTCCCAGCCTCAGGCCCTGTTTGGCTGTGACTGAGGAAGCTCAAGCCCCAAAGCCAGCATAAAGCAAGCGTTGGGGCAGCTCCGGTTTCAGCCGGACTTGCCTGTGTGTAATCCTGGGGCTGGGTAATCTGATGCCCCAAACTCAGAGCCGGTTCTGGCTCTTGGCTCCGGTGGCCTGGGGAGCTGAGGCTACTTTTCAGGGACACCAGAAATGTCTGTATTCTTTCTCAGATGGGTCGGCAGACTGTTCTGGGTGCCAGGTCTTTGATGAAATGGATTTGGATACAAATCAAATATTTAAATTGGTGTTTTCCCTCTTTGGAAGGACCATTCCAGCTGGACCTGTGGACTTGTTTTTACATAAGATTTGGACTCCTTTAAATGTGCATTTTTTTTTCCATCTTGAATACGCCTGGGGCAGACAGTGGCTGTATTTGGAAGCCCCGAGGCTGCTGGTCTGGCTGAGACAGGGAGCAGGCACCTCAGCTAACCCTCTTGGCCGAAAGTGCACTTGTTAGAAAACCAATTCATGTGCCTGCTGGCTCCCCATGGTTATATATTATTTAATCACGCAGGTCTTGGGTTTATGCCAAGCAGCAACTTGCTGTCTGCCATCTTTCAGGGAAGAATAAGCAAGGCAAATTCATTCAGTTCTGTCTCTTTTTCAGCTTCCTGGGCTAAATGAAGGCAAGAAAGTGTTTATGAACATCCCAAAGTGCTGTGAAATATCCATCTTGGTGAAAATAGACACCCTGCTTCCTTTTGAAAAATAGCATTTTGTGAAAGGAATTTTTACCCATACATTTAGCTCAGATATTTCTAGATATTTCAAAGGGCCTCTCTTCTTCCCTTTACTTTAGACAGAGAGAGAGAGACTAAAGATATGTGAAATTCCTTTAGCCACAAGCTTGTTTGGGACCTGGCCTGGGGCACGAGTCTTCATCCTGGCTGGTGACGGCTGACACCAGGGCATACAGTGGCAGTTATCAGAGAATTTCCAGGGAGGTGCAAAAACTCGGTACCTTTACTCCTACAGAGCCCACAAAGCCCTGTGCACAAAGCCCCCCTGCATCTTGGAAGGAGCAGGTGGGACATTTTGTTTTGGGGATGGGGTCCGGGACGAGCTGTGAGCTCCTCTCTGTCCCGCCATCCAGGTGGTCTTGGAAGGAGCAGGTGGGACATTTTCTTCTGGGGATGGGGTCCAGGACGAGCTGTGAGCTCCTCTCTGTCCCGCCATCCAGGTGGTTCCACTGTTGCCCTGCTGAGAGCTGGAGGCCCCATTCCCCCTCCGAGCCCAGCCTGCCAGCCCCTTCACACGCCTTTAATCTGGCGCCTTCCTCCTAGCACGCACCTTTCTTTTTCTAAAAATAAAAATAAAAGTTTTATTTTATTTCAATAGTTTTTTGGGGAACCAGTGGTTTTCAGTTACATGGATAAGTTCTTTAGTGGTGATTTCTGAGATTTTGGTGAACCCATCACCCAAGCAGTGTGCACTGAACACAATATGTGGTCTTTTATTCCTCATCCCCCTCCCACCCTTCCTCCCTGGACTCCCCCTGGAGTCCATTACATCATTCTTAGGCCTTTTCGTCCACATGATTTAGTTCCCACTTGTAAGTGAGAACATATGATATTTGGCTTTCCATTCCTGAGTTAGTTCACTTAGAATAATAACCTCCGGTTCCATCCAAGTTGCTGCAAAGGCCATTATTTCATTTAGTTTTACATTTGAGTAGTATTCCACGTTGTAAATATACCACATTTTCTTTATTCATTCATTGGCTGATGGGCATTTAGGTTGGTTCTGTGTTTTTGCAGTTGTGAATTGTGCTGCTATAAACATGTGTGTGCAAGTGTCTTTTTTGTATAATGACTTCTTTTCCTTTGGGTAGACACCCAGGAATGGGATTGCTGGATTGAATGGTAGTTCTACTTTTACTTCTTTAAGGACTCTCCACACTGTTTTCCACAGTGGTTGTACTAGTTTACAGTTTCACCAGCAGCGTAAAAGTGTTCCCTTTTCACCACATCCATGCCAACATCTATTGTTTTTGAATTTTTTAATTATGGCCATTCTTGCAGAGTAAGGTGGTATCTCATTGTGGTTTTAATTTGCATTTCCCTGATAATTAGTGATGTTGAGCATTTTTTCTTTTTTCTTTTATTTATTTATTTATTTATTTTTTGAGACGGAGTCTCGCTCTGTCGCCCAGGCTAGAGTGCAGTGGCAAGATCTCGGCTCGCTGCAAGCTCCGCCTCCTGGGTTCACGCCATTCTCCTGCCTCAGCCTCCCGAGTAGCTGGGACTACAGGCGCCCGCCAATGTTGAGCATTTTTTCATATGTTCGTTGGCTATTTGTATATCTTCTTTTGAGAATTGTCTCTTCACGTCCTTTGCCCACTTTTTGATGGGATTATTTGTTTTTCTTTTGCTGATTTGTTTGAGTTCCTTGTAGATTCTGGATATTTATCCTTTGACAGATACATCATTTGAGAATATTTTCTCCCCACTCTGTGTGGGTTGTCTGTTTACTGTGCTGATTACTTCTTTTGCTGTGCAGAAGCCTTTTAGTTTAATTAGGTCCCATTTATTTATTTTTGTTTTTGTTGCATTTGTTTTTGGGTTTTTAGTCATGAATTCTTTTCTTAATCCAATGTCTAGAAGAGCCTTTCCAATATGATCTTCTAGAATTTTTATGTCTTCAGGTCTTAGATTTAAGTGTTTGATCCATCTTGAGTTGATTTTTGTATAAGGTGAGAGATGAGGATCCTGTTTCATTCTTCTACATGTGGCTTGCCAGTTTTCTCAGCACCATTTATTGAATAGAGTATCCTTTCTCCACTTTATGTTTTTGTATGCTTTGTCAAAGATCAGTTGACTGTAAGTATTTGGCTTTATTTCTGTGTTCTCTATTCTGTTTCATTGGTTTATCTGCCTATTTTTATTCCAGTACCATGCTGTTTTGGTGATTATAGTCTTGTAGTATAATTTGAAGTCAGCTAATGTGATCCCTCTGGCTTTCTTCCTTTTGCTTGGTGTTGCTTTGGCTATGTGTACTTTTTTTGGTTCCATATGAATTGTGGGATTGTTTTTTCTAGTTCTGTGAAGAATGATGATAGTATTTTGATGGGAATTGCATTGAATCTATAATTGCTTTGGGCAGTATGGTCATCTTCACAATATTGATTCTACCCATCCATGAGCATGGGATGTGTTTCCATTTGATTGTGTCATCTATGATTTCTTTCAGTAGTGCCTTGTAGTTTTCCTAGTAGAGATCTTTCACCTCCTTGGTTAAGTATTTTCCTAAGTATTTTATTATTATTATTTTAATTTTTTGCAGCTGTTGTAAAAGGGATTGAGTTCTTGATTGAGTCTCAGCTTGGTCATTGTTGGTGTATAGCAGAGCTACTGATTTGTGTACATGAATTTTGTATCGTGAAACTTTACTGAATTCATTTATCAGATCTAGGAGTTTTTTGGAAGAGTCTTTAGGGTGTTCTAGGTATACGATCATATCATCAGGAAGCAGTGACAGTTTGACTTCCTCTTTTCCAAGTTGGATGCCCTTTATTTATTTCTCTTGTCTGATTGCCCTGGGTAGGACTTCCAGTACTATGTTGAGTAGAAGTGGTGAAAGTGGGCATTTTTGTCTTGTTCCAACTCTCAGGGAGAATCAAGCACACACCTTTCTCCTTCCCTCTTTCCACCCTTTGTGCAGTCTGGCGGGAGTCGTGTTTTCCTACAGCGACTCTTTCTGTGTCATTTATTGCCAGGAATACATATTCCCAGAATCCCCTTTATTTACTCTGTCATTTGAGTGTCACCTGCATGGTGTCCAGGCTAGAGACCAGCCTCTTCTATGTCCGCAGTTTAAAGTTTCTGTCTTGGCACAGCCAAGCACACATCAGATGCTGGGTCAGACTCCTCAGAGCAATATCCAGGAGTCAGGGGACACAAGCGCTTCTATGCCTGTTGTTCCAGTGAGGAAGCCTTGACTTAAAACTATGGTTGTGGGAATTGAAAACTAACGAGAAGCTCAATGCACAGACTTGCTAAAAAGAGAGAGCACTGGTGTCCCTACCTCATGGGGTCCTTGGGAGAACTAAATAAGGAAACTCACACAGTTGCTTAGCGCTCCCTGGCACACGGTAAACTGTTGATACTTTAATCTCCTTGAACTGCAGGCATCCCTCAGAATTCAGTCCTTGGAGATCATATGTGGATCTACACAGTGTACAGAAGAAAAGTGCAAGAAGACTGCACAGCATCTAAAAGCTAAGCTTCTCCAGCTTGGGTGAATTCTGGGATCAGCAGATTCTCCCTTTAGGATCTGGGGGCTGCCACCCAGAATCTAGAATCAGGGCTGACAGTCACTGCTCGACCTCTCTCTCTCTCTCTCTCTCTCTCTCTCTGTCTCTCTCTCTCTCTCTCTCACACACACACACACACACACACATATGGGGAGGCCCAGGGGGCTACAGTGTCCAGAGTCAGCCCCTCCTGGAAATCCACAGCCCACCAGGTCTGTGTCAAGGCTTTGAAATCACATCCGAGTGTTTTGATTGAGAGCAAGTATGCTGCATGGAAAATGATTTCTTTGTAATCATTCAGTAGAAAAACGAAACTGTCTCCTAAATAAAATGTCAAACATCCTAAAGTGCCTGGGAGCGTAGTAGTGACATCAGCTTCAGAGTTTATTATTTCATCAATGGAGCCAGACTTGGTGCAAAAAGGCAAGGACACTTTATCAGAAAAGGAATTTTTTGGGGAAAAAAAATAAAACCTTTTGTTTTATGAGACCAGCATTACTCTTATAGCAAAGCAGCTGAGGACACTACAAGAAAAGAAAATTAAAGGCCAATATCCCTAATGAACATAGATGTAAAGGTCCTCAACAAAATACTAGCAAGCTACTCTTACACCAAAGTCCTACAGACTGCTGCTCATGCTGCCACCATGTCTTTAGTGATCCTTGAGAAGTTCCAGCACATTTTGTGAGTATTCAGTGGGTGACAGAAAATAGCCTTTGCCATCACTGCCATTAAGGGTGTGGGTTGAAGATATGCTCATGTGGTGTTGAGGAAAGCATATATTGACCTCACCAAAAGGTCAGGAAAACTCACTGAGGATGTGGTGGAGCATATCATCACCATTATGCAGAATCCATGCCAGTACAAGATCCCAGACTGGTTCTTGAACAGACAGGAGGATGTCGACGATGGAAAATATAGCCAGGTCCTGACCAATGGTCTGGAGAAACTGAACAAGATTTGGGTCAATAAAGGACCGCACCAATTCTGGGACTTTTGTGTCCAAGGTCAGCACACCAAGACCACCGGCCACCAGGGCCATACCATCGGTATGTCCAAGAAGAAATACGTCTGTAGGCCTTGTCTGTTAATTAATAGTTTGTATACCTAAAAAAATACTAGCAACTAGAATTCAACAGCACAGTAAAAGAACCATTCACCATGATCAAGTGGGATTTATCCTTGGAATGCAAGGATGGCTCAACATATGCAAATCAATCAATGTGATATACCACATTAACAGAATGAGGGACAAAAACCATATGATCATCTCAATATATGCAGAAAAGCACCTGACAAAATTCAATGTCCTTTGATCATAAAAACTCTTAACAAATTAGGTATAAAAGGAATCCACCTCAGCAAAATGAAGACCATATATGATAAGGCCAAAGTCAACATCATATTCAATGGGGAAAAGTTGAAAGCTTTTCCTTTAAGATCAGGAACAAGACGGGCATGCTCATTTTCACTACTTCTATTCAACATGGTACTGGAAGTCCTTGTCAAAGCAGTTAGGCAAGAAAAAGAAATAAAGGGCATCCACATTGGAAAGGAAGACGTTAAGTTGTCTCTGTAGATGACATGATATTATAACCCTTTGGGCAGTTAACACTCCCACTTCACCCTTGCAAGTAGCTGGGACTACTGGAGCACAGCACCATACCTGGCTCTATTCTTTTTTTTTTTTTTTTTTTTTTTTTTTTTGAGATGGAATCTTGCTCTGTCACCAAGGCTGGAGTGCAGTGGCGCAATCTCAGCTCACTGCAACATCTGCCTCCCAGGTTCACGTGATTCTCCTGCCTCAGCCTCCTGAGTAGCTGGGATTACCGGTGCCTGCCATGACACCCAGCTAATTTTTGTAATTTTAGTAGAGATGGGGTTTCACCATGTTGACCAGGCTGGTCTTGAACTCCTGACCTCAAGTGATCCACCCCCTTGCCCTCCGAAAATGCTGGGATTACAGGCATGAGCCACCACGCCTGGCCTCGTCTACTTTCTGTATCTATGAATTTGCTCATTCTATAAGTGAAATCATACAATACTGTTCCTTTTGTGACTGGCTTACCTCACTTAGCATATGTCTTTGGTTCATCTGTGTTGCAGCATGTCAGAATTGTAACCACCCAAGGGGTTCACCTTGCCTGCTGCCTAGACAGAGCCGATTTATCAAGACAGGGGAATTACAATAGAGAAAGAGTAATTCACACAGAGCCGGCTGTGCAGGAGACCAGAGTTTTATTATTACTCAAATCAGTCCTCCCAAAAAATTCAGGGATCAGAGTTTTTAAGAATAATTTGGTAGGTAGGGGGCCAGTGAATCGGGAGTGCTGATTGGCTGGCTCAGGGATGAAATCATAGGGAGTCGAAGCTGTTTTCTTCTGCTGGGTCAGTTCCTGGATGGGGGCCACAGAACTGGCTGGCAGGTCCAGGTAGGGCCGTCTGGATGTTAGAAATGCAAAAACCTGAAAAGACACCTCAAAAGGCCGATCTTAGGTTCACAGTAGTGATGTTACCTTCAAGAGTAATTGGGGAAGTTGTAAATCTTATGTCCTCTGGCATAATGGCTGGTAATATTTAGAATTCTAGCCCCTCTCATCTTACCTTGGTGGCTGGTGGCCTTTCATTTGTTTACAAGAACAGTTTAGCCTTTTGGGAAAGGCTATTATATAAACGATACACTAAATTTCTTCCCAAAGCTAGTTTGGCCTACACCCAGGAAGGAAGAAGAACAGTTTAGAGGTTAGAAACAAGATGGGGTCAGTTAGATCTGGTATCTTTCACTGTCATAATTTTCTCCATTATGATTTTTGCAAAGGCAGTTTCAGGATTTTCTTCCTTTTTAAATAAATACATGTATTCCAGCCTGGGCAACATAGTGAGACCCTGTCACTACAAAAATAACTATAAACATTAGCTGGGCATGGTGGTGCGTGCCTGTAGTCCCAGCTTCTCAGAAAGCTGGGGCGGGATTGTTTGAGGCCAGGAGTTTGAAGTTACAGTAAGCTATGGTCACACCTCTGCACTCCAGCCTTGAGCTTGATCTCAGGAGGCTGAGGCTCCAGTGAGCTGTGATTGTGCCACTGCACTCCAGCCTGAGAAACAGAGTGAGATCCTATCTCAAAAAAAAAAAAAAAAAAAAGAAAAGAAAAAACTCCAACTATGGAATCAAACTTAATTAGTAATTTTGGTTTGACTGCTTACTTAGCCATGCGGCCTTGGGAAGACTACTTAGTTTCTCTAAACTTATTTGTAAAATGTGAGTGTCAGGGAGGAAATAGAATTTGTCCTTAACTCTCATAAGTTCATAGTTAGGACAGACCCCTGTGGAAGAAAACCAGATTAACAAGAGAAAGATAAGCCAATTGATGAACACCCACAGTGCACACCGTGTGGAGAAATCTCAGTGAGAGGTCACTTGGAGCAGGGACTTAGAACTCTGGCTTATCTAGCATCTTCAACAAAGAACAATACAGTTTGGAGAAGCAGCAAGACAAAGCAGAACTGTGGGTCTCTGTGGGCAGCAACTCGAGGGAAGGCAAGCCATGGCCGATGCAGGTTCGTCAGCAAAGCTTGTTGTCTGTGGTTCCTTCTCCAGGCTGCTGGGGGCCCACAGCTGTCTTCGGTGGCAAAATTTGTTCTCCCTGGCAGAGCCAGGGACAGGACAGGATACCTTTTCTCTTTGTCAATCTATGTCCTGCCTTTTGGCAGACAGAGGGCGGGCATGGAGCTCTCCTGCATCAGCTTCTTATCCTCAGCGCAATCTACAATCCTTTGCGTTCTGGACCGGCATGTTCTGTTCTCCTGTGTGAGCAAAACCTGCCTTGAGGGGCTATAGGGGGCATGAACTGACGGAGGGTAGATCAGACGCTCAGCCTGCCTGAACACACAGGAAGTGCTCAGAAATGTCAGCTATTATTATGAAGTCAAATATACCAGCTGTACTTTTATTCTGATAACTTTAAAATGAAATAGGGGCAAAGTTTCCCAGTTGAGAAAAAGTGACACATTTTAGAAGTTCAGAAGGCATTATATGCCTACGACTTTCCCTCGGGAACAAAGAGATGGAGGCCTGTTAGAGACCTAAAAGAAACATGACAAATTCTGGCTGCTTATAGATCCAAGAGACTGCCCCCTATTCTCACGCCTCCCAATCTTCCCTGGGTGCAGCGTGGCCTGAGAGCCAAGAGGCACTAAGATGCAGTGTGCCAGATGTGAGCACCTCCTAAATGAAAGAAAGGCCTCCAACTTACCTCACCTGTTGAGAAAGACAAAATCTGTAAGAATATACTTTTTTTTTTTTTTTTTGAGATGGAGTCTTGCTCTGTCGACAGGCTGGAGTGCAGTGGTGCGATCTTGGCTCACTACAACCTCTGACTCCCTGGTTCAAGCGATTCTCTTGCCTCAGCCTCCCGAGTAGCTGGGATTACAGGTGCGCACCAACACGCCCAGCTAATTTTTGTATTTTTTAGTAGAGACGGGGTTTCACCATGTTGGTCAGGATGGTCTCCATCTCCTGACCTCGTGATCCGCCTGCCTCGGTCTTCCAAAGTGCTGGGATTACAGGCGTGAGCCACCGCGCTTGGCCGAATATACATTTTTTTTCTGTGTGTATTTTCTCCTCAGACAGAGCTCACAGATGCTAATCGAGGCATGGCCTGTGTTTCCAGTCCCTGAACCATCTGACACTCCCACATTTCTCGCGGAGCTTTCCCTGCCAGTGGTGCTCAGGTGACTGCAGTGGGCTCCTGCAGCTCGTTCCCGCCCAGCTTGCCCCTGATGTCTCTCCTCCAACCCCCTCCCATGGATATTAAAAGAGAAAGAAAAAAGCTCTACCCCAAGTCCAGCCACCTTTCCATGACTCTCCCTGTCCTAAAACAAGGAAAGCCGCCATAGACACAATGTGAGCTGCTAATCCATCACTGCACGTGGAGTTTTATCCGAGAAAACTGTTGCTTCTGTAAAGTCAAGCATTCTGCTAAGAAAAGTTTCCATTCACCACTACAGGAAAATGGTGCTTGTGAAGCTCCAGCCAGTGTGCTGTTGAGCAATGTCTTTCTAAACAGCTACACTGGGGCCCAGGCATGGGAGAAAGGTCAGGGAGGGGGAGCTCCAAGACCAGGAAGTTCCCGGGTGGCTCTCCTCCCCGGGGAAAGGGTCCCAGCTGACTCAAGGCTCCGTCTCTTTCCATGTGTTCATGCACCTCCTTGGGGATAACCGTCTAGCACATCAGCTTGAGCCAAGAACTGATGAGGTCAAGGTAGGGATGGCAGTCCCCTTAAAAGTCTTCTCCTCAAAGGGAGGAGCAGGTTCATCCCATCCTCCTGTCCTCACAGCCCCCACAGGAACTGGATGGAGTGTAGGCCAAGTGCTCAGTGCACGTTACAATGGACCCAAGTAATTCATGAAGGAGCCTCGTGGTGAAAATGCCACCTGGGTTTAGGGGCAACATGCCATTGGGGCCAACACCAATGTTGGCCACAGGAAAACGAGACCATTATTTCTCTAATTATAAGAGATGAAAAGCACCCTCTTTGGCCTCAGTCATTTCCTCGGAATTGGGTGGATCTCACTGGCTGCCAACTAACTAATTTAATTTGACCTCTTCGCTAAAGCGAATATTGAATAACTTTCACCCAGAGGAGAAACTATTTTCCGTAACCTGTATTCTGAGGAATATGCTTGCATGGACACTCTACTCCCCATGATCCAGCAGGTTACACTGAGAATTCAGCACAATCTTAGCTCCTTAAAAGGAGGGCTTCTGGTGTAGTTTTGTGCTGTGTTACTGTTCCCTTGCTCCAAACCGAAGAGAACTGCCTGGGTAACTTGTAGAGTATTTTTCTCCACAGAAACCTCTTGACACTTGTTCCTTGAAGATTTACAAGTTTTTCTTCCTATCTATATCATTTCCTCAACTCAGTCTTTTAAAACCCCGCTTTAATATCAGTCTTTTCTGTCTTTTGTTTTTGTTTTTGTCTGTTTTTTAAGACGGAGTCTTGCTCTTTCGCCCAGGCTGGAGTGCAGTGGCATGATCTCGGCTCACTGCAAGCTCTGCCTCCCAGGTTCATGCCATTCTCCTGCCTCAGCCTCCCAAGTAGCTGGGACTACAGGCGACCACCACCACGCCTGACTAATTTTTTGTATTTTCAGTAGAGACGGCATTTCACCGTGTTAGCCAGGATGGTCTCGATCTCCTGACCTCGTGATCCGCCCACCTCGGCCTCCCAAAGTGCTGGGATTACAGGCGTGAGCCACTGCGCCTGGCCAGTCTTTTCTTTAAAATGGAAGATAGTCTAACATGGTATTAACTGGCAGGTATAGATAGTTTGAAAACATGAGTCAATATGGGATGACTAAAGAGAATTAACAGCAATTTATCTTATTTCCAACTTCAACTGACACCTCCTAAGTTCCTTGTTATATCACTTCCTCTCTGTTGGTGTGCATTCTTACAGATTATAAGAGTAACACACTGTAACAACACCGCCTTCCTGGCTTCCTGCTGGGCTGGTTCCATCAGGTTGAGGGAGGAAGAACCCAGCAGCTGGAAGCTTTCTCAGTCCTTTGTGACAGGACTCCTCAGGATGGTGATATATTGTCAAGGTCCAAGCGGTCCTGGATGCATGAGTCACTGAGCTAGAAACTTCAGGAGAGTCAGCGGCTGGAGACACTGACCTGCCCTCAAGACTTAGAGCCAAGGAGGAGCCTGAAGATAGGGTGGAGAAGCTCCAAGACAAAACGAGCAGGCTGTGTCCTCAGTGTGCAGAGTGCTCCAGAGAAGAGAAAGGCAACTTCTGCTGGGGAATCATGCAGGAGGTGACAACCCCCTGGGGAAGTGATGGGCTGGGGTTGGAGGTGAGGAAGACATAGATATGGGAATGCCAAGTTGAGAATCGGAAAATACAAGAGCAGTTTGCTTGGAGTGGAGAGTGTAGGTCAGAACATAACCTGACAACAATGTATGAGAAACACCTGGCTGACCTCAGTATCCGTGAGCACACCCAGCACCCAGACCTTAGTGTCTAGTGCCATTTTCCAAAAGAAATGGAACCAAGATTCCTGAGAGAAATGGTTGATTCTAGGACTGAGGCAGGAAATGTGAGGTGAGCCTGGAGCATCTTATGGTGCCAGGAAGTAAGGAAGTGCTCAGCATAACAGTAAACACACACACACCCCATTGATGGGTTTATGTTGAAGGAGCACAGGAGCCAACTGAAAGAGCTCCCAATGGCCACAGCTGGAACAGTTTGAGCTACAAAATAAAGAAAGCAGTATTAGAATTGGATTATCACAAAGTAGAAAGATCCTTGAGTCCATACTGATAGAAATAAATGATTGAATACATTAATGAGTGGGGGAAAAGAGAGCTCCGCTGCAGAATTTGAAATACCTTATGTATCTCTTCCACCCTAAAGGAGGGGAGCAGAACTCTGCACTCCTTAAGGATGGGCCGCACATAGTGACTTCCTTCCAAAGAGGACAGAATGGAAAGGGGACCAGAGGAGAGTAATTTCACAGTGGAGATGCCTGACAACCACCACCTCGGCCAGCTGATCAAGGTCAACAGCAACAGCCCTAAATCACGTTGAGACTATTTGCTCTTGAAATAAGGTGATGGCAATGGCCTTTTACCTCTGTGGGCTTCCTCCCCAAAACCCAAAGCTCCAATCTAATCTCAAGAAAAAACATCAGACAAATTGCAACAAAGAGGCATTCCACAGTTCCCCTGAGTAGCACCCTGAAGAACTGTAAAGACCACCCAAAACCAGGAGAGCCTGAGACACTCACAGCCAGGAGGACTCAATGGAATGTGGGGTCCTGGAGGGAGCTGGAACAGGAAAAGGACTCAGGGGGAAACTAAGGGTGTCTGAATATAGTCTGGATCCTGGATAATAATAACGTATCAATATTGGTTCATTAACTGTAACAAATGTATCATACCAATGAAAGATGTTAATATTAGGAGAAATTGTGTGTGTGTGTGTGTGTGTGTGTGTGTGTTGGGGGAAGTACATAGGAACTCTCTGTACTGCTTTTTTCCCATAAATCTAAAACTGTTTTTTAAAAAAGTCTTTTTTTTGGGGGGGGGATAGGGTCTTGCTCTGTCACCCAGGCTGAAGTGCAGTGGTGTGATCTCAACTCACTGCAGCCGCTATCTCCCAGGCTCAGGTCATCCTCCCACCTCAGCCTCCTGAGTAGCTGGGACTATAGGCATGCACCACCATGTCCAGCTAATTTGTGTATTTTTTGTAGAAATAGGGTCTTGCCATGTTGGCCAGGCTGATCTTGAACTCCTGAGCTCAAGCAATCCACCTGCCTCAGCCTCCCAAAGTGCTAGGATTATAGGGGTGAGACACCATACCTGGCCTCTAAAAAAGTCTTAATGAAGAAAGTGGGGTGGGGGGGAACCTCTTGGCAGTAAGGATGGGTGTGGCTAAGTGGTTAGTGGAGAGGGGAGGTGGTAGATGCTCCTGGATGGATATCACTGTTCCCTCTGAATGTGACTGCCAGAGATGGGGGCTTAGCTCAGCTTGCCATAACCAAATACTGTAGACTGCATGCCTTAAACAACAGAAGCCGATTTCTCACAGTTCTGGAGGCTGGGAAGTCCCTGGAGCTGGGTGCCAGCATGACTGGGGTCCTGGTGAGGGCTCCCTTCCTGACTTCTCCATGGCTATGTCCTTGCTGTAGCCTCACATGACCAAGAGAGCTGTGGTCTCATCTCCTTCCTGTGAGGACACTAATCCCACTGTGGGGGCTCCACCCTGACGACCTTATCTAAGCCCAGCCACCTCCCAAAGGCCTGCCTGCTAAGACCATCACACTGGGGTTAGGGCCTCAGCATTATGATTTTCAGGGGACAGAAACATTCAGTCCATAACAGATGGGCAAAGAGAGCATCTCGTCCCAGAGAAGATATCCACTTGGCAGGTAATGTGATGCTCAACAAGTCATATACAGAGTAGCTTTGCTAAAAATAGATACAAAATTTTGTGGTCAACATTACTGAAGGAGGTTGCCCCAGCTAGAGCAGGGGGATGGCCAATGGCTGGGGTTGGGGGCATAAAGGAGACATGGGAGGGGAGTCCTGGGGATTGATCCTAGGTTTTTGGAAGCTCACCACGAGTGCCCTCCACATCCTGCTCCACCACAGCCCTCTTCAACCAGTCTAGGCATTCCTCCCCACAGACTGGCCCACAACTCCTTCCCAGCAGAGGCTGGGCGCCAGAACAGGCTGCTGCAGAGCCCAGCCCTGTGCCCCACCTCACTGTCCTTGGGGCCAGCCCCTGGCTGCCTGCCTTTTTCAGAGAGAGACCAGCCTTAGCTTCGGTGCAAAAGGCGGTTCATGCTGCAGCCTTGTGTTCTGAGCACTACCTGCCTTCTTTCTGTTTTGCTTGTTGCTATGCTCCCAGTTGCTTCTCATCCTCAGGAAATCCAGGACTAACTCCATCTACTGAAGACATCCACCCACCCTCATTCCCTTCCACCCCCTGTAGACTTCCTCCAGGCTCAGTGCACAGGGTTGGAATAACCACTGTGATTTTGCATTGATTTTGACCCATTTTCATCAGTGTTCCTGTGCATGGCCATTTATTTATTTGAATATTGTAATAAATCCACAGGAATCATCCATTCTGCAAGGAAGTTTGAGTCAGGACAGCAATTTACATATACCTATATGGGCCTCCCTCCTCCTATCACCTTTTCTCTTTCCTAAAGTTGTGTTTACCTTTTGAAACAATTATACATTCAGAGGAAGTGGCGGATATCATACGGAAAGGTCCTGTGTAACATTTTATACCTCCAGTAGTAACATCTCATATAACTGTAGCACATTGTCAAAACTAGGAAACTGACACTGGTACAATCCACAGACCTGATTCACATTTCCTTAGTTGTAGTGTGTGTGTCAGAGGCGGCGGTGGAGTGTGTTCTATGCAGTTTTATTTCATGTGTAGGTCCATGTACTGACAACCACAGTCAAGATATACAAGAGTTCCATCACCATGATGATCCTTTTTATTGCCCTGTTACAGCCACACTGACCCCTCCCCACCCCCAACATCCCTAATCTCAGGCAACCACTAATCTGGTCTCCATTTCTACAATTTTTTCATTTCAAGGATGTTATATAAATGGAATCATACAATAGTAACTTTTTGGTCTGGGTTTTTTTTCACTCCATATAATTCCCTTGAGATCCTTCCAAGTTATTGGGTGTGTTAATAACTTGCTCCTTTTTATTGTTAAGCAGTATTTCATGGATCACAATTTGCTTAACCATTCACGCACTGAAGGACATTTGTTTTTTTCCTAGGTCTTGCTCATTACACATAAAGCTGCTATGAACATTTGAGTATGGGTTTTTGTGTGAACATAAGTTCATTTCCCAGGATAAATGCCCAAGAGTGAAATTACTGGATCATATGGTAATTTCATGTTTTCTTTTATAAGTAAACTGGGAGGTATTTTTCTGAATGGCTGTGAAATTATACATTACTGCCAGTAATATACGGGAGATAAAGTTTTTCAGCATAGTTGTCAGAATTTGATGTTATCACTATCTTTTACCATTCTAATAGGAGTTAGTGATATCATGATTTTAATTTGCCTTTGTAACCATTCTAATAGGAGTTAGTGATATCATGATTTTAAGTTGCCTTTTTCCTAATGGTTAATGATGTTAGAACATCTTTTCACTCATTTATTTGCAGTTTAAGTGGACTCTTTGGTAAAATGTCTGTTGATGTCTTTCCTTCATTTTCCATTTGGTTTGTTTGTTTTCTTATTGCTGAGTTTTGAAAGTACTTTACATTCTGGACACAAATCCTATATCATTGATCTATTGGTATATCCTTCATGTCAATACCACACTGTCTTGATTACTGTTGCTTTAGAATAACTCCTTAAAAATCTAGTAATATTAGTCGTCTAACTTGGTTCTTCTTTTGTGAAGTTGTTTGGCTACTCTAGGTCCTTTGAAGTTCTACAAACATTTTAGAATCAGTTTGTCATTTTACACACACACACACACACACATAGGCTGCTGGGATTTTGATTGTGATTGTATTAAATCTATATTGAATCTATATTTTGGGAATATGACATGACATCTTCACAATATTGAGTCTTCTGACCCATGAACAAGGTATATCATCTATTTAGGTCTCTTTATCATATCAGTATTTTGTAGTTTTCAGTGTACAGTATTTTTCTCATTTTTTTGGTCAGACTTATCCCAGGTATTTATGCTATTGCAAAGGTAGTATTGTTTATGTGATTGCAAATG
The DNA here is from genome assembly GCF_000001405.40 of Homo sapiens. Classification (NCBI taxonomy): domain Eukaryota; kingdom Metazoa; phylum Chordata; class Mammalia; order Primates; family Hominidae; genus Homo; species Homo sapiens. The sequence continues at coordinate 4,989,719 of NC_000006.12, forward strand.
TTGATTTTTTGTTTCAATTATCAATTTTTCATTGCTACCATATACAACTGATTTTTGTACACTACTCTGTATCCTGCAACCTTGACAAACTCACTTATTTGTTCTAGTAGCTCATTTGTAGAGTCCGCTGAATTTTGCATAAATAATCATGTCATCTGTGAATACATTTTTCTTTCTTTCTTTCCAACCTGGATGTCCATTATTTCTGTTTGTTCTCTGATTGCACAGTCTAAAGCCTTCAGTACAATGTTGAACAGAGGCGGTAAAAGCAGGCATCCCTGATTTGTTCCTGACGTTGGGAAGGTGGGGAATATTGTCTTTCACAATTAAGTGTGATGTTAGCTGTAGGGTTTTTGTAGATGCCCTTGATCAGATTGAAGAAGTGTTGTTTATTCCTAACCTTCTTGATTATCAGTAATGAATGCTGGATTTTGTCAAATGCCTTTCTGTATTGATTGATTATATGATTATTCTTTTTTAGCTTGTTTATACAATGAATTATATTGATTGATTTTTCAAATGTTAAGTCAACCCTACACTCCTTGGATATTCCCTCTTGATCATGTTTTATTACCTGTTTCTTATCTTGTAGGACTCAATTTGATAAACTGGCTTAGAATTTTACCCTATGTTCATGAGAAATGTTGATCTGTAGTTTTCTTTCCTGGTAGCATGTTTGTTTGGCCAGGGTCCTAGGATAATTTTGGCACTAGGATAATTCTGGCCTCAGATAATGAGGTGGAAAATATTTCTTCCTCTCTCTCTCCTTCTCTCCCTTTCTTTGAGTCAGGGCCTTGATTTGTCAGCCAGGCTGGAGTGCAGTGGTGTGATCATTGCTCACCGCAGCCTTCAATTCCTAGGCTCAAGCAATCATCCTGCCTCAGCCTCTCAAGTAGCTAGGACTACAGGCATGTGCTACCATGCCTGGCTAATTTTTTTTTTTTTTTTTTTGGAATCTCGCTATGTTGTCCAGTCTGTCCTTGAACTCCTGGCTTCAAGTGATCCTCCCACCTCAACTTCCCAACATGCTGGGAATACAGGTGCGAGCCACCACGCCTAGCCCTAGATTTTCGTTACATGTTTTTAAACTGTAATTTCAACTTCTTTAACAGATATAGGGCTATTCAGATCATCTACTTCTTCTTGGGTGAGCTTTGGTAATTTGTGCCTTTCAAAGGATTTGTCAATTTCATCTATGTTGAATTTATTGCTATAAAGGTGTTCCTAATATTTCCTTACTATCCTTTTCTATCTGTAGGCTCTTCAGTGATGCCACCTCTCTCATTCCTAGTATTGGTAACTTGTGTCTTGTTTCTTTTTTCCCTGATATATGTACCTGGCTGGAGATTTCTCAATTTAAAAAAATTTCCCCCCCAAACTCCCCAAATTTTGATTCATTCATTTTTCTCTATTTTAAAAATTTCATTAAGTCCCACTTTGACCTTTATTATTCCTTTTCTTCTGCTTACTTTGAGTTTTTCTCTTTTCTAGTTTCTGCTATTGATTTCTAATTTAATTCCGTTGTGGCCAGACAACATACTTTATGTGACAAATGTTTTGAATTTGAGACTTTTTAAATGGTCTATAATGTAGTCCATCTCTATAAATGTTCCATGTGTACTTGCGAAAAACTCTTAACCCACTTTACTTTTACATATATTATAAATCCCGTACTATGATTTTTGTTTGAACAGCTAAAAATTTTTCTCAAGTTATTTCTCAAGAAACAAAATTGAGTTGTTTCTCCATTTTCTCAAGAAAAATTTTCTGCTATTGTAAGATGCAATGTCCTGTAAATGTCAATCGGGTCAAGTTGATTGATAAAATTGCTGAAGTCTACTTTATTATTCTTATTGATTTTCTGCCTACTTGTTCTGTCAATTATTGAGGGTGGGGTATTAACGTCTGATAATAGTGGGTTGATCTATGTCTCCTTGAAGTTCTAGTTGTTCTTGCTTTATGTGTTTTGAAGCTTTGTTATGAGGTGTGTGTTGTCAGTATGAAATAACTTTCTTTAATCCTGGGTGATACGGTTTGGGTCTGTGTCCCTGCCCAAATCTCATGTCAAATTGTAATCCCCAGTGTTGGAGTTGGGGCCTGGTGGGAGGTGATTGGCTCATGGGGGTGGATTCCCCCATTTAGTGCTCTTCTAGTGATAGAATTCTCACAAGATCTGGTTGTTTAAAAGTGTGTGGTACCTCCCACACCCCTCCCTCCTGCTCTGGCCATGCTTCTCTTTCACCTTCCGCCATGATTGAGTTTTCCTGAGGCCTCCCCAGAAGCCAGGCAGATGCCCACTGTGCTTCCTGCACAGCCTGCAGAAACGTGAGCCAATTAGGCCAGGTGTGGTGGCCCATGCCTGTAATCCCAGCACTTTGGGAGGCTGAGGTGGAGAGATCACGAGGTCAGGAGTTCGAGACCAGCCTGGCCAATAAGGTGAAACCCTGTTTCTACTAAAAAAAGAAAAACAAACAAAAACAAAAAAACGAAACAAAAAAAAACTAGCCAGGCATGGTGGCGCATGCCTGTAATCCCAGCTACTCAAGAGGCTGAGGCAGGAGAATCATTTGAACCCAGGAGGTGGAGGTTGCAGTGAGCCGAGATTGCGCCACTGCAGTCCATCCTGGGCAACAGAGGGAGGCTCTGTCTCAAAAAAAAAAAAAAAAAAAAGAAGAAGAAGAAATGTGAGCCAATTAAACCTCTTTTCTTTATAAGCTACCCAGTCTCAGATATTTCTTTATGGCAGTGCGAGAATTGACTAATATGCTGGGAATTACTTTTTGCTCTATTTTGATTAATATAGCCACTTCAATTTTCATGTAACTAGTGTTAGCATATCTTTTTTCCATCCTTTAAGTATTTGTATCTTTCTATTTAAAGTACATTTCTTGTAGGCAGAATATAATTAGGTCATGTTTTTTTCAATCCAGTCTGAAAATCTATGCCTTTTAATTGGTGGTGTTCACACTATTCACATTTAATGTGATTATTGATATGCTTAGGTTGAGTCTCTCATCTTGCTACTTGTCTTCGATTCATCCTAACTGTTCTTTATTCCCTTTTACCTCTTTTTCTGTCTTCTTTTTGATGAATCAAGTTTTTAAAATAATTCCATTTTATCTTTTGATAGTTTAATAGGTATGATTTTTTGGTATGTCATTTTAGCAGCTGCTTTAGGGTTTACAGCACATATCTGTAACTTATCACACTCTATCTTCAAATGGTAGCACGTCACCTTGTGTATGAGAACTTTACAATAGCATGATTCTCCTCTCCTAATCTTCAAGCTATTGTGGTCATCCATTTTACTCTTACATATATTATAAATCCTACACTATGACTTTTATTTAAATAACTGTCTTTTAAAGAGGTTTAAATAATAAATGCTACATTTACCCATGTTGTTACTATTTCCAGTGCTTATTTCCTTCAGAAGGCAGGCATTTTCCTTCTGCCCAAAGGACATCCTTTAACTTTTCTTGCAGTGCAGACCTGTGGGTGACAGTCTTTCAGCTTTTGCAAATTTGAAAAGATCTTAATTTCTTCATATCCATTATTCTATTTTCAGTGGCGTCTAGTCTGCTGTTAAACCAACCAGTGGAATTTGCAATTTCAATTATATTTTTCATTCCTAGATTTGTTTGGCACTTTTTACAATCTGCTTCGTTGTTCTTATACTCATGCCATTTAACCCTCCTTATTTCTGTAAGCATAAAGCATACTTTATGGATGTGCTTGCTAACTTTAACATCTTAAGTCTTTCTGAGACTTAACGGCCTGCTTCTGCCCCTTGTTTCTGCTGGTTCTTGTCTATTTTACACTTGTGATTTTTTTCTATGAACTTACATTCCTTGAAACTCTCCGAGTTCCTCCAAAGACAATCTGTTTTGCTTCTGCCAGTTACCTGTAAGGCAGTAAAATCCTGTTATCACTTGAAATTTCCCTCTTGAGATTTTTTAAGACTATCCAGGTGGTGCAAACAAGCCACCCTAAAAACTGCTGTTATATATAAATCCTGTGGTTATATATAGGCTCTCAAGTAAGATGTTTTCCCCCAGGACAGAAATCTTCCTTGCTGTTCACAGGGGTTGGGGGGATGGGTGAAGCAGATGGATTTATTCCTAGTTTACCCCTACATTGCATCTATCCTTTTGGAGTCTCACTTTATGAGGTCTCCTGTTAGTTTTCCTCCCTTGGGCAGGCCCTGAGCTTTGTGTGCTGTTCTGCAGCCCCTTCCCACCCCAGGCTATGAGAAGAAAACTTCAATTTGGCATTTGGCAGATGCACTAAGGCGGAAAAGTGGCGTCAGTACTCCACTTACTTCTTTGGGTTTCTGCTTCCATTTACAAAAAAAAAAATTTTTTTTTCCCTTTAAGAACTCTTATTTTGCAGCTCTTGTTTTTTACATTAAAAAAATGGTTCTTCAGACAAAAAACCAAACACCGCATGTTTTCACTCATAGGTGGGAATTGAACAATGAGAACACATGGACACAGGAAGGGGAACATCACACACCGGGGCCTGTTGTGGGGTGGGGGGAGGGGGGAGGGAGAGCATTAGGAGATATACCTAATGTTAAATGATGAGTTAATGGATGCAGCACACCAACATGGCACATGTATACATATGTAACTAACCTGCACGTTGTGCACATGTACCCTAAAACTTAAAGTATAATAAAAAAAAAATGGTTCTTCATATGTATTCTAAAGTTTTAGTTGTTTTCAACTGGTCCTTATCAGCCTTACTGCTGGAAATAAAATTCTTTCAACCTGTTCTGTAACGATTTACAGTATCCATTGATCCCTCTCTGATCCAGAGGCATTAGCGTGAGAACACACTTAGGAACTAGGCTGGCCTGAGATCAAGTCTCAGGTCCACTGCCACTATAACTTCGGTAGTGTATTTACACACTGTGCCTCAGTTTCCTCAAAGGGTTGGTGTGAGATTCTAACATGGTAATATATAAACAGCACTTACAACAGGGACTGGCCCTGGTAAGGATGAGATTTCTTTTTATTATCTGAAAAAGTTGTAATGAACAAAATATATCTCAACCAATGGAGTGAGATGGGGACCAATATCCCCGGTCCCTGGACATCCTGGCCCAGTGTACCACATAGTAACCCACAACCCTGTGCTTATGTTGACAGAGAGAAATCAACTATGAGCTATTCACTGGACAGCAGGCCTTGCTGCCATCACAGATGGGTCTCAGGTGCAGGGCAGGATGCCAGCAAATGCTGATCTGAGAAATGTCACCATCACACAAGCCTGAGTGGACACACAGACCTTTTACCATTAAGAAATCTGAAAGCAAGCGTAAATGTAAGTAAACACGATTTTTAATTTTTATTTTTTATGGTGGACAGTGATCATTTGCCCCAACAGCCATCTGAAGCCAATAGTCCTGATTATTAAAAATCACAAAGTTATATAAATGTTCTCCTCCTTTTCGAAAACCATGTTCATTTTTTTCCCAAGAAACAGGGCTGTCTGCAAAGCCTTGAACGGACAGTGTAACCCATGGAGCTAACTTCGGTTCATCAAAGTAGTGACTGAAAAAAAGGTAGTTGTTAAACAGAGTTTTAAAAGAGAGTTAGGAATGTCTGCATTTTAAAAAATTTATTCAGGATAAGTAGTATTTCTGATATTCTAATAAAGCTTAGATCTTAGCTTTAATTTTTGAAAATCAAGAGGTGTGTGATAAGTTCCTGATGTCACACTGTGAACTCCATAAGGATTAACTAATATACAACACATGAAACAAACCTCAGCTGTTCCCACCCTCATTCTGGGAGGTCTTTAAGACAAAAAGAACCCAAAACAAAAAACCCCACAGGCGTTTAAGGATCCTTTCCCTCCTATTAAGAGTACTGTTCTCAGAGTCTCAGTTAACTGAAACGTTGCAGGATAATTCACCAGATTTTTCATATCCAGCCTTCCTATCGAAGAAAGTCAAAGTACTAAACCAATAAATGTGAAAAAGGATGTTGGGCTTAAAAAGGAAAACCTTCAAGACTTAAATCTGACATTTCAAAAGGGAAGACTGAGAAGATATGCTTACTAAATAGGATTATACTCAATGTACGGTCTTTGCAATAGGCGATTTGAGTTCCTTTCAATGTACATTTTATTTATATACCACCTCCCAAAATGAAAAAATCTATACTATTCGACATACTGTTCTATAGAGCACTGATGAGCGATATAAAAGGTAAAGAGTTCTCACCAGAGATGTTCCAATAGGAGACAGATCTTCTCTGGAAGTATGAAGCCAGTGATTGTACACAAATAAGCTTTTGCCACCACTGTGCTTGGCTCAGGACAGCAATAGGTTGATATGAAATTATTAGGCTCATTATTTCTGTCACCAAAAAAATAAAAGAGAGAGAGATAACACATGTATATCCATCACATGATCACTTCCAAAGTATTAAACTCCTATTAAAAACAAGCAGCAGGCCAGAGCCCTGGAAGACACAGGGAGTTCAGATACCCACAGGTCGACATTACTGAAGACGGCGCCGAGCCAGTCGAAGAGCTCCAGAGCCCGGCAGGACACCTCTGGCGTTCCCTCCAGCTCGCTGCTCTGCAGCACTGGGCACTGGAGATCTCTCAACGTGCTCAGTGCTACTTTTGGCTGATGCTCCTGAATTTGGTACTTGGAAAAATATGACATCATTGTCGATTCTTCTGAACCTTAAAAACACACCACACAAGGCCATTTGAATCCATCTGACCATCGTAAGCAAGTTTAGTGAATACCTGAACCCACCCATTCCCATCTGAGCGGTAAGATTGAGTAAGATGGAAGCTGTGCAGAGCTGCATTCAAATTAAAATCATTTAAAGCTGCTTTCAGCTCCTTTTGCTCAAGTTCTGTAAACGTTCATCGTTTTTCACACTTTTCCTGGAAAAGCACAACAGTTTCTGATCAGACCCAAACTAGTTTCACTGTTTGTGCTAATAAAAAAATTTCAACTTCACACTTAAAACCAAAAGCATTCCTGATGTATGAATAATATTAGTGAACTCCAGAGAGAAGGAGCTTATCTGCACAACCTCTATTAAAGAAAAAGAAGAGAAACTGAATGGTGATTGAACCTCATCCCAGCTTGACTTTGAAAACCCAATAAAATCCAGCGTATCTTTTCAGGGATGTTTGTGTAGCCAACGGCCTTGGAAGACAGAGATAGTACTCCCTCCACGGCAAAGGGCAGGCTTGCTTACTGTCCAGTATAATAGAAATAATGTCACCCTCCCTCTCTCCGGGCAGATATCAGCAGGCTTACTGTCCCTTACAAAGGACTGGAGTTCTTAAACTCCAGGTTCCTCTCCTGTAATGCAACCTACTGCATGTGCCAGCATCGCTTGGTGTCACTCTGGAAATGGGACTTGGTGAACTGGTGCAAATGGTGATATTCGGTGTGATGGTTAATTTTAGGTGTCAACCTGACTGGATGAAGGGTCATCTAGATGGCTGGTAAAGCATTATTTCTAGGTGTGTCTGTGAGGGTGTTTCTGGAGGAGACTGGCAGGTGAGTGGGTAAACTGAGTGGGAAGATCTGCCCTCACTGTGGGTGGCACCATCTACCCGGCTAGGGCCCCAGGTAGAACAAAACGTCAGAGGAACAGTGAATTCGCTGTCCCTTGGAGCTGGGACTCCCTTCTTCCCCTGCCCTTGGACAGCAGAACTCCAGGTTCTCTAGCCTTTGGACTCTGGGGCTTGCACCAGCAGATCCACAGGTTGTCAGGCTTTGGCCTTGGACTGAGAATTATACCATCTTCTTTCCTGATTCTCAGGCCTTCATATTTGGACTGAGCCAGGCTACCAGCATCCCTGGGTCTCCCACTTGCAGACAGCCTGTCGTGGGACTCCTCAGCCTCCATAACTGCATGATCAATTTCCCTAATAAATCTCCTCTCATCCATCCATCCATCCATCCATCCATCCTATTGGTCCTTTCTCTCTGGAGAACCCTGACTAATACATTTTGGCTACTACCATTCCTCTGAGGAATTAAGTCCTGTGTCTCTGACCCAGGGCTTATGTGTCTTCTGCCAGCATCCCTGAGACTGTAGCAGGCTACCTAGTTAGCCTGCAAGTATGAGGAAATCTCAGAACTTTCACAGTCCTGACAAATCCTTAAAATAGTTAGGAGCTTTAGGAATAGGGAGCTATCCAGAATCCAACGTCTGGATGATCTGCATAGAAGACTTCACGCAACTGAAACTTCAATAAGCCTTTCTGCCCTCTTTTCTATCTACCATATATGGAAGGAGAGGCACCGAAGGCCAGACCTAGGACTCATGGGAGCAACTTGGAGCACCCAGTGACGAGACACTTCCCATGAGGAGCAGACAGATGGGGCTATTTCTAAAACAGACCACCATGCTTCCTATCCTCCAAAAGAGAGTACTACACCATAATTCCTGATGACTTGATCCATTATTATCTGGGTCAAAGATACACTTCTAAAAGGAGCAACATACATGGCCGTTTTAGGCAGATTACGCTGTGTGGTGAATAGCAAACTTTGAACTAAATTTAGTGTCCTAATCAATTAAAAGTTAGAATAAATTCATCTGACATTTAATGGTAGGCCTGAGTCAGTACCCTGTGATAATAAATAAGCAGATTGTGTATATAATTGGTGCTACTTAAAAATATTATAGTCAAGGCTGTTCAAGGTAAGCTGGAGAGAGGAAAGGGGAGAAATAGATAAAATTTAGCTGCTCTGAAGCCACTCTCAAGATCTCTGGATCTACATATAACCCAAAGAGACGCAGGCAGAAAGGCCTGCGTGCCTACATGATCCTGAACTATGGTTTTCAGAGATGTCAGAAGGGCTAGTTTCCTTAATAATATTTTTATATATACGTATAGAATATTCCTTGACTAAAGAGTGAATCACCATTCAATCCTCCATTACTCCTCTTTAATTAACAATTACTTTCAAAATCACTGTATCATTACATAATTTATTCCTCATACCTGTTTTATGCCAAGCCAAAAGAAAATCAAATTTCAATGGCTTCTTTTCTTTGAAAGACCAAGATATTCTTTCATACTTCTTAGAATCCAAGTTTAAGGATAATTCCATCAAATCAATGGAAACAACTTTAAAAATGAAAAAAAGAACATATATTTCATTCATATACGTACAGCTTCTACCATGGAAAAAGTGTTACATTTTTAAAAACTAGAATTTTGGGAAATTTTATGGATAGTAAAATTATTTTATTCTTCTTCCACTCCCTTTGGTTTGCCAAATAAATAAGATCCCTTTGGTGGGCACTTCTAACCTTGAGAGCTAATAAAAACAGACATTTTCAATTTATATGTTTCCTAGGTCAAAGACCAAGGGCAGAGGACCTTGAGAGGTCAGGTTTAATCTACTTATGGATGTGGCGGCCTTAGCTATTGATGTTCGAGCCAGACGCTGTCAGCAAAACATCTCTTCACTCATGGGTGAATTTCTACTAGTAATCATAAAGACTTGGGGAAACCAAAGGAAATTCTTTATTAAGAATAAGTTGTAGACTCCTATCTTGGGTTCAGTACTTGGAATTTTTTTTTTTTTTTTTTTTTTTTTTGAGATGGACTCTCACTCTGTCGCCAGGCTGAAGTGCAGTGGTGCGATCTTGGCTCACTGCAAACTCCCCCTCCCGGGTTCAAGCAATTCTCCTGCCTCAGCCTCCTGAGTAGCTGGGACTACAGGCATGCGCCACCACGCCCAGCTAATTTTTGCATTTTTAGCAGAGATGGGGTTTCGCCATGTTGGTCACAATGGTCTCAATCTCTTGACCTCATGATCCGCCCGCCTTGGCCTGCCAAGGTTTAACCCGAAACATATATATTTAATTGACCAGTCCAAGTCTACAATCTTTATTAAATGCATCTACAGCTGAAAAGAAATGAACTTAAAAGCATCATCCTATCCTCTGTGAAGCTCGAGTCAGAAGTTTGACAGATTTTTTTTAAAAGGCCACATTTTTTTGAACAAAGAGATTAGAGGCAATTCAAACATTTAAATTTAAATTGCCACAAGAAGATTAGAAACAGATGGAACACACATGATACTTACTAAATTTCATAATTTTTCTGCCAGAAAACTGAGATGGATGACCCTGAAGTCCAGTTTCTTCATAAGTGTCTTTATCCAGTGACAAAATTAATTTCCCTATAAATCAAATAATAACTCCCATAAGATACCAAAACTAGAACTTACGTTGTCTGACTAAAAGAAAGCAAGGCAAATTGAGCAGTTAGATATCAATGTAACAAACTGCATACAAGGATCTTATTTATATCACAAGAATATTATTTATGTGTATACATGTCTTGTAACAGATATTATTTATACATTATACATCCAAGGATATTATTTATAATAGTGAAATTTAAAATAATCTGAATTTCTACTAAAGATGAAATAAATAAGTCATGGTATACTCATTCTTTTGAATATCTTCTTTTTTTTTTTCAGACAATCTCATTCTGTCTCCCAGGCTGGAGCGCAGTGGCGCAATCTTGGCTCACTGCAACCTCCGCCTCCCAGGTTCAAAGCGATTCTCCTGCCTCAGCCTCCCAAGGAGCTGGGACTACAGGCATGAGCCACCACGCCGGCTAATTTTTGTATTTTTAGTAGAGGCAGGGTTTCACCATGTTGGCCAGGCTGGTCTCGAACTCCTGACCTCAGGTGATACACCTGCTTTGGCCTCCCAAAGTGCAGGGATTACAGGCGTGAGCCACCGTGCCCAGCTGACTTTTTTTTTTTTTTTTTTACAGTATGCATTTTTTTTTAACAATTAAAGAAAGATGAAAAAATAAAGTGTTACCATTTGGTAGCAGGGCAACAGTATTATCTTCATCAATATGTGTATTGTATGTTAGTGCATAGCAAGAACCTGGAAGAGAAAGTACAGAGGAAAAATTTAAAACAAGAAATTACACCTGCAAGATGTTAGTGGATTATTTTTACAAGATAACCAGTCTTCCGGGTCATTAAAGGTCAGTTTCTACCCCTGCTCCAGCTCACTCAATAAACCAAACATCTGCTAAGGGTAAGCTGCAGCATGCAGAAGACCAAGCATGCAGAAGACCAAGCATGCAGAAGACCAAGCATGCAGAAGACCAAGCATGCAGAAGACAAAGCTTGCAGAAGACCAAGCATGCAGAAGACCAAGCATGCAGAAGACCAAGCATGCAGAAGAACAAGCATGCAGAAGACCAAGCATGCAGAAGACCAAGCATGCAGAAGACCAAGCTTGCAGAAGACCAAGCTCCAGCTAGTTCACTCCCTGACCAACAGCCTATTTGTGCAAGTTTACTATCATCAAGCAAAAAACTGACTCAGAACGGAACGTGACCTTTGGGGATGCGCGGAGAGGGGTCCAAAGTAGAATTCTAGATAAACATACACCTCTCAGAGACAGAGTTCCAGGTTAAGATTCAAAAGCTACCCAACCTCTCCAAGCCTCAGTTTCCTCACTGTTAAATGAGGATCATAGGCTTGCTTCATAAAGTTGTTGCAAGGGTTAAATTTGGTAAGACATTTAACAGTGCCTGCTACAGCCATTGTCCACGTAATTCACAGAGTGGTGTCAGGCCTTGAAATAGATGAAAGGAATAACGGTGATGAGACCAGACAAGATGCCCAGCTCATAAGTCGCCCCAGCAGTGTCAGAATGAGAGGAGCTACTGGTAACTAGAGTTCTTCATATCTTCACTGGAGAGGACACACATGGGGGCTACCACAAGATAAGCATGTGGCCACTGTACAGGTGAGTTATGTAGTGTGGGTGGAATCCCTAAAGGCCCTCTGAAATAGTTTCAAACAAATGGCTCCCAGGAATCAACTGAAACAAACCAGTCCAACCCAGCAGATATGGGTGGAAATGGGGTGAGTAGAGGAGGGGTTATGGCTACAAAATCTAAGCAGAAGACACTGGACCCCAACAAGCACTTTGCTCTGTGAACAGTAGCTGTGGCTGTATCGGGAGACCAACCCTCTGAGACAGCTGCTGTGGGACTGCTGACAGCATAGTGTCTTTGCAGCCACATCTTCAACAGCAGTGCATCTGAACACAGACTGCAAGTCTCTCCTCTCCATTAATCCTCATTTTAAGGGGACGGATACTGTCATGTTACAACATCCCCATCCAACACTTGTGGCCAATTGCAATCAGAAACCACCACCTAAAGAGGGTACAAGAAAGAACAGGATGAGAATGCGGGGGAGAACGCGTGTGCACCTGACCACACAGACTATACCACAGGCCCTGTTTGAAACAAAACAACAGCCCTAGCATCGTGATGTGGTCTCCCTACCCTTCCTCATCCAGCCTTGTTCACAGCCATTTCAGGTTTTTCTTACCTTTCTTTATAAAGGTACTGATGAATTCAGGTGTAATTAATTCATGAAGAGGTAAATTCTTCACAAAGTAATAGGGTCCAGTGTTCATGACCAGGTTTTTCAGTTCTTCCGATAGTATCCCACATTCAGGAATGAGAAATGAAACCTATTGGAATGTGTAATACAAACAAGGTCTTACTTCCATGAAGATGAACACCCAGGTTTTTAGGAATGAAACAAAATCATGAAAGTTGTTATTTCTCCACGAGTTTCACTGGAACATAAAAACACGGGCAACAAAACTCTTATGTTAACTTACCTATCTCAGGCAAAGAGAAATCTGACTACTTAAGTTTTTCATTTCTGCATTCAAACGTACAGTACAGGAAGGGGATTGAACAGAATACTTTTAATGGAAAACTCGTGCTTGCATTTAATCTTTTGCAAATTAGCAATGCTGTATATTTTATGTCCTGTTCCTTTCACTATTTTATTTTCAAGGAAATATAGTATAATTGAATATCCCTTGATTTGTTTACCCTGGTGTTATCCTGGAATGAAACAAACTATCTGTCGGGGCATAAGGAATTAATTTATGGACATCCAATTACTAAGAATCTATGTGCAAGCAATGGTGCTCCTGTATGTTTTCATTTTCGAGACAGAAAAATGCAACAGGCGAGTTAAAGTATACATCCCTGACTGCTGTGATGAGCTTGACATCCAAAATAGGTGTTAAAAACAGGGCAGGCTTCAAATGTTGCCACATTGTAAAAGTCATCACTGTCCCAAGGCTCAAACACCAGCCTGTTCTGACTGATCAGGTCACCACTTAACATCTCTGAAACACTGCTCAGTCAAACCTGAGTTATTAAGCTGATCCATTTAAAGTGTAAAATGTTTAATCCCCCATGATAAGGTTAGTTTCTTGAAGTCTCTCAGATATCAAATTAGTTCCAACAACCAATTTAGAAAATCAGTCGCTTCGGCCGGGCGCGGTGGCTCACGCCTGTAATCCCAGCACTTTGGGAGGCCGAGACGGGCGGATCACGAGGTCAGGAGATCGAGACCATCCTGGCTAACACGGTGAAACCTCGTCTCTACTAAAAATACAAAAATTAGCCGGGCGTGGTGGCGCGCGCCTGTAGACCCAGCTACACGGGAGGCTGAGGCAGGAGAATGGCGTGAACCCGGGAGGCGGAGCCTGCAGTGAGCCGAGATCGCGCCACTGCACTCCAGCCTGGGCGACAGAGCGAAACTCCGTCTAAAAAAAAAAAAAAAAAAAAAAGGAAAATCAGTCGCTTCCTGGGCCGAGCCTAGGCAGGATGCTCTGGTGAGATCCACAGGTACGCAGGTGGGAGAGGGATTCAAGCTGGGGAGGAGGCAGTGGTGGGGAGGAGGCGCGAGACCCGCCCTGATTTGGGGAAAAAGCGAGGTGCACGTGGCTGCCCCACAGCCTAACTCCCTGGTCCCGGCCCTGAACCTCGAATCCCTCCCTGGACTCACTCCCAGTTCGGCGGGTTGACACGAGTGAGCAGCCAGAACGCCCCTGACAACAGCTCCCTCCAGACTGGGTACCGCCCCCACGCCCGGCGCATCCTGGGAGTTGTAGTCCTGTAGCCCTGCAAGCCACTGGCTTAGAGCAGTTAAGAGACTACAACTCCCAGCAAGCCGGGCGAGGGCCCCGCCCCTCCGCGTACCGCCGGCGGCCCCGCCCCGCGAAGCCTAGCACTCTCCCCAAACCTCTCTCGCACGCGGGGACTGAGCACGGCCCGAAAAGCCGAGGACAGCCGGACTCACCCTGTAGTTATAGTAGTGCGTCTGCACAAGATGCCGGTGGCGCGACTTGTGGTTGCCGAAGTTGGATTTCTCGCAAACCAGTAAGTGCCGCGGCGCCTCCCGAAGCCGGCGCAGCGTGGCCATGCTCTCCTGGGTTCCTGGTCCTCCCGGCCTCCGCTGGCGGGGCACGCCCCGCCCCTTCCTCCCGCCCCGCCCCTTCCCTCCGGCCGCATACCCGCTGCTGTGCGCCCCTGGCGGCGGTGGAGTGGGGATGGCGGCGCTGGATTTCTGAGCAGTTCTTAGACTTCTTAGGAGCCCACGCAGCCGCTCTTTGGTGGATGTCTGAAGCTGTAAATTCACTGTCCCAGTGGCTGGGAACCTGGCTCTTGCCTTTTCAACGCCACTTTTCCTCCGTCCCCGCCATCCCTTGGAATTGCCCTAAACCCTCTCTGTGGGCCCCGCCTCGGAGCGCCCCTTGGACCCCAGCCTGGCGCCGGCGCATACCTCGGTCAGGCCCCTCAGAGGGACCGCTTCCTGCCACCGTTATAAAAGGAAAACATCGCATGGAAAGGCCCAGTTCCTTTAGTATATGGTCAAGAAATGTAGCCGCACAGTTAAGTAACCCCCTAAGCTGCTTTGGGGGCCACACCCAGCTGCTTTCTGACTTCTCACACTGTTTGGTTCACAGGACTCTGTTACCCATTGGGGACCTCTTGGCCATTATTAACACAGGCCAACAGGACTAAAAGTTTGTATCAGTCCTTCCCAAAACATTAGGGAAGGTTGTGCGGGAAGGTAAAGCACAATTTTTGCCTTACAATAGGACTCCTTTGAAACTACTATTGAGTTCCCTTTTAAATAGCCCTTCAGAACCGCTTTTAATAATGTGTTGTTTCTGGGGGTTAATAGTGATAATTCTCCTAAGTCATTTTTCCATTTCGTTTTTCTGTCACGGGCTTGGAGCGGTTAAGAGACTGCGGCTCCCAGCATGCGGTACGTTACTGATCAGGGCAAAATCAAGTATGTTACTACATGCTTCTCAAACTAGAGAGGCACAGCCCCAATTCTGCACTGGCAGGATACAAAACAGCAGAATATTGGTGATACATCTTCCTGGAACATCAGTTTTTCTATGAGATGTGGAAGAAATGGAATTAAGTAGTTTACAAGGTAAATAATTAAGAATTTAAAACTAAGCCAGTCACAGTGGGTCATGCCTGTAATCCCAGCACTTTGGGAGGCTGAGGTGGGAGGATCACTTGAGCTTAGGAGTTCAAGACCAGCCTGGGCAATATAGTGAGACCCCATCTCCAAAAATAAAAATAAAACTAAGACAAGGCTGGAAAGTCATCTGCCATTATAAACATCAGTAATCTGGCCGAGCACAGTGGCTCACGCCTGTAGTCCCAGCACTTTGGGAGGCTGAGGTGGGAGGATCACTTGAACTCAGAAGTTCACGACCACCCTGGACAATATAGTAAGACCCCATCTCAAAAAAAAAAATTAAAACTAAGACAAGGCCGGAAAGTCATCTGCCACTAAAAACATCGGTAATCTGGCTGAGTGCTGTGGCTCACGCCTGTAGTCCCAGCAATTTGGGAGGCCGAGGCGAGCAGATCGCCTGAGGTCAGGAGTTCAAGACCACCCTGGCCAACATGGTGAAACGCTTTCTACTAAAAATACAAAAATTAACAGGGTGTGGTGGCGCATGCCTGTAATCCCAGCTACTCAAGAGGCTGAGGCAGAAGAATCACTCGAACCTGGGAGGCAGAGGTTGCAGTGAGTCAAGATCTCGCCACTGCACTTCTAGGCTGGGCGACAGAGTGAGACTCTGTCTCAAAAAAAAAAAAAAAGTCAAAATGTAATCTATGACTGAAATGTCACATTTTCTTTCCAAGGAAAAACCTAATGAGAACCTGTTTCCCATTATTTTAAACAGCAGAATTATAAGGCGTGGCAAGTTAATTAAAAAAAACCCTACTAATTTCCTAGATCACAATATGGCAGCTAGATGTTTTATAAATAACAGCTACTAATAACATGTTAAGATGTAAAAGGCTTAAAGCATTGCTTCTTGGTCACCTCATATTTAATGTAATTGTCACCAGACAGTTGCTTTGTGTGTGGTAGCAGTGGCCCAAGACTGAAACATCACGGATGTACCTCTCCTTTGTCGACATTCCAAAACTCCACAAAGTGACTGGTGTGATCCTGATGGTCTACCAATTGTATTTGGAAGCACCGTGAAGCTTTTCCAGCAAACCATTTAGTTTAAAATGTTGCATATTTTGAAGATGCAAAATAAATTCTATCTATGTAAATATCAGCTGAAAAATGTATTGAGAGATATAAACTGCCCTCTTCTCAAGAGAGACCCCACAGAGTCTTGCAGCTTTAAGTCCTCCTCTCTGGCTGCTGATAACCCCTAGATGTGGCGCCTCTTCCCTGAGCGGAGTATCCAGATGACTCTAGTACAAGGACTCACCCCTGACTTCTTCCCTTCTCACCCGCCATGCAATCCCACAGTAAGTCTTGTGGCCCTGCCTGCAGCACGCATCCTGATTGCAGCCTCTTCTTGCTCTCTGCGTTTCTACAGCCAGTTTCAGCCACCTTCGTCACTTACTGGCCTGCTGCCCAAGACTGCCTCCAAACCTTCTCCTTGCTGCCTCTCTTGCCCTCCCACAGTCCATTCTCCACTCAGCATCCAGAGTGATCTCTTAAAAACATGAAAAACATAATATACCCCCACAGCCCCATTTAGACCCTACCACTGGCTTCTCACTGTGATGGAATAAAAGCTTACACATTGGCCTGAGCCTGCCTCTTCAGCCTCATCTCCTTCCCTTGCTTATTCACACTCTGTCTGTCAGATTTTCTGGTCTCTAGAGCTGAAAGCAGTCTTAACTGACAAACAGATATTAGATCATAGAATCTAGAGCACAGGGTATGGAAGGAAAAGTGCAAGATGGAAAAGCCAGAAATGGTTAAAAAAAAAAAAAAGCACATGAAACAAAACATATCTATATGTATACCCAAAATAGTAACATAATTTTGAAAAATCTGAGCTAATAGACTTGCAAAGAAATAGAAATATCTTTGATCATATTCTGAAAACAAAAAAATATAGACTTAGTAAATATAAAAGGACAAAAATTTTACACATCCCATTTCCGGGCCATAATGCAATAAAGTTAGAAAGAACAGAAACAGAATTGGCCGGGTGCTGTGGCTCATGCCTGTAATCCCAGCACTTTGGGAAGCCAAAGCGGGTGGATCACGAGGTCAAGAGATCGAGACCATCCTGGCCAACATGGTGAAACCCTGTCTCTACTAAAAATACAAAAACTAGCTGGGTGTGGTGGCATGCGCCTGTAGTCCCAGCTACTTGGGAGGCTGAGGCAGGAGAATCACTTGAACCCGGGAGGTGGAGGTTACAGTGAGCCAAGATCTTGCCACTGCACTCCAGCCTGGCAACAGAGTGAGACTCTGTCTCAAAAAAACAAACAAAAACAACAACAAAAAAAAAAAACAGAGAAAGAAACAATTTAAAGATGCTCAACTCTTTGACAATGTTAAAATATTCTTTTAAATAAATTAATGCCTGGGTCAGGGTGCAAATCCAAAACACAATGACAGTGTCCATAAACTTCTGTGCTTGTAAATGTATCATAACCATATACAGGCCGTATTGGTGAAAGGAGACAGCTGTCTGACTCAGAAACACAGGGAGTGATCAGGTTATGTTCATTAGGATCCTAGCACTGCCCTGGAGTTGTTTAACATCATCTCTTTACAGTTAGGAGCAGACTGCAGGGAAATGTATCTATTGCAGACAACTGTGCTAAATCAGAGGCCGCCCTCCTGCTGAACCTGAACTTGACCTCACAGTTCCTGTCAGCACAGGGTTCTAGGCAGCTGCTACAAATCAACTGGTGTTGGCTTACAGATTGAAACTGCCCTCAGACAGCAGAGTGGAAACTGGCACCAATGGCTGCAATGGAGAAAATTAATGGCCTGTGGGCCACACACGGTGGCTCATGCCTGTAGTCCCAGCACTTTGGGAGGCCAAAGCGGGTGGATCACTTGAGGTCAGGAGTTCGAGACCAGTCTGGCCAACATGGTGAAACTCTGTCTCTACGAAAAATACAAAAGTTAACCGGGTGTGGTGGCGCATGCCTGTAATCCCAGCTACTCAGGAGGCTGAGGCAGGAGAATTGCTTGAACCCGGGAGGCGGCAGTTGCACTGAGCCGAGATGGTGCCACTGCATTCCAGCCTGGGCAACAGAGTGAGGCTCCATCTCAAAAATAATAATAAAATAATAATAATAATAATAATGGCCCCTGCTATGGTCTGAATGTTTGTGTTCCCCCAAAGCTCATGTATTGAAATGCAATCACCAATGTGATGGTATGAGGAGGTAGGGCATTTGGGAGGTTAGAAATGGGATTCATGCACTTATAAAGGAAGCCTCAGAGAGCTGCCTTTCCCCTCCTTCTATATGAGGACAGAGGGAGAAGATGCCATCTAATGAACAAGAAAGCGGCCCCTCCCCAGACACTGAATCTGCCAGTGCCTTGATCTTGGACTTCCCAGCCTCCACAACTGTGAGAAAGAAAAGTCTGTTGTTTATAAGTTACCCATTTTATGATGTTCCCTTATAGCAGCACAAATGGACTAAGACAGCCCCCAAGAAGAATGTATGACCCACCTAAGAACTAGACAGTGTCATTTTCTCCTGGGCTGCTCTCTCCGTGACTGGAGTGGAGATCAGTGAAGGACACAAACATTAACCATGGCAGCTCCATAGGCCATATCGCTGTACGGAGGTGCACAAATGAAGTCATGCCTTAAAAGCAGAACATGGCCAGGCATGGTGGCTCATGCCTGTAATCCTAACACTTTGGGAGGCTGAGGTGGGAGGATTGCTTGAGCCCAGGAGTTGGAGACCAGCCTGGGCAACATGGTGAGACCTTGTCTCTATAAAAATAAAAATAAATTAGCTGGGCCTGATGGCGCATGCCTGTAGTCCCAGCTACTCAGGAGGCTGAGGTGGCAGGATCACTTGAGTCTGGAACTTTGAAGCTGCAGTGAGCTATGATCACGCCGTTGTACCCCAGCCCAGGTGGCAGAACAAGACCCTGTCTCAAAAAAAAGCAGAACACAAAACAGTCTGTGGTCTGATTAAAGCTTTGTCACACATGCTCATAAAGAAATTTGGAAGAGAATTTGGAAATGGCTGAAATTTTTTCATAAAGATCATTCTTTTAATTTGTTTAAATTTAAAAACATAACATTGGTATATGAATTGGTACATGAAAATGAATTGGTACACGAAAAACTCAAATCTTAGCTATACAGAAACTTTCAATATCTAGAATGAGGCATTTCCCAAAGGCCTGTGTAACTTGGATTTTACTACATTTTGAAAACTGTTAAGGGCTAATGTAGTTGATGAAAGAATATTAATACACATTCACAGAGAAAGGACAATTGCTATAATATACACAATTATTAACATATAGTATTTTACATATATAATACCTATAATGAATCAGGCACTGCTATAAGCATTTTATATTCATTATCTCACATGAATCCTTTGTGAGGTAGATTTCAGTATCTTCAATTTAGAGTATTGTTGGTTCGTAAACAATACATAGAATTGAATAAAACACAGAAGGCTCTTAAAAACAGTGTTGACTGAAAAATGCATTTTGCAAGTGTAACGGATACATTTATAGAAAAGTTTAAAAACTTACAAAGTTAAACTGTATTGTTTAGACATATGTACATATATAGTAAAACTGTAATGATAGTCAAAGGAATTTTTTTTTTTTGAGGTAGTGTCTCACTCTGTCACCCAGGCTGGAGTGCAGTGGTGCAGTCTCAGCTCACTGCAGCCTCCACCTTCTGCGCTCAAGCGATCCTCCACCTCAGCGTCTCCACCCCTAGTAGCTGGGACTACAGTTGTGGGCCACCAACCTGGCCAGGAATAATTTTTAAACTTTAGATGAATGGTTCTCCTAGATGGGGAGGCAAAGGGTTATATTTGGGAGAGGCCATGCAGAAGGCTTCGTGGGTGGTGGTGAAATTGTATTTATTAGGCAGATGATAGGTGCAGAGTATTTATTTTATTTTTCTTTATATCATATATGTATACATATACAATTTTGTGTATATAAAATAGTTCATAATTTAAAAAATTTTTTGAACAGCTGTCTTGAGATATAGTTAACAGACCTTACATTTTGCTTATTTAGACTGTACAATTCAGTGGTTTTTAATATATTCACGGATATGTGCAGCCAACACCACAGTCAGTTTTATAACTTTTTTTTTTTTGAGACAGAGTATCATTCTGTCACCCAGGCTAGAGTGCAGTCTTGGCTCACTGCAGCCTTGAACTCCTGGGCTCAAGCAATCCTGCCTCAGCCTCCTGAGTAGCTGGGACTACAGGTACGCCCCACTCTGCCCAGCTAATTTTTTTTTTTTTTTTTTTTTTTTGTAGAGATGGGGTTTCGCCATGTTGCTCACGCTGGTCTCGAGCTCCTGAGCTCAAGGGACCACCCGCCTCGGCCCCGTGAAGTGCTGGGATTACAGGCGTGAGCCACAACGCGTAAACCCCGTATCCTTTAGCTGTCACCCTCCTATCCCTTCCTCCAGCCCTAAGCAACCACTAATATACTTTCTGTAAATTTGTCTTTTCTGGACATTTCATATAAAAGGAATCATATACTATGTGGACTTTTGTGACTGCCTTCTTTCACATAGCAAAATATCTTCAAGGTTCATTCAAGTTGCAGCATTGTGTCAGTACTTTATTCCTTTTATTACCATCATAATTGTTTTAAAAAATTTTTTATCTTGAATACTGGTGCTTGAGGAAAATAGTTTAATTAGAAGGAATTTTTTTTTTCGAGATGGCATCTTACTCTGTCACCCAGGCTGGAGTGCAATGGTATGGTCTCAGCTCACTGCAACCTCTGCCTCCCGGGTTCAAGCGATTCTCCCACCTCAGCCTCCTGAGTAGCTGAGACTGCAGGTGCATGCCACCACACCCGGCTGATTTTTGTGTTTTTAATAAAGACGGGGTTTCACTGTGTTGGCCAGGCTGGTCTCAAACTCTTGACCTCATGATCTGCCCGTCTCGGCCTCCCAAAGTGCTGGGATTATAGGCGTGAGCCAGAAGGAAATGAGAAAGAAAAGTTTTTTTGGAGATCCTAAAGGACTTTCAATTACTTCTAACATCTCTAGAGGTGGATGACGCTGGTTTTTGTTCCAGAATGTGACCTTGTTTTTTTGTTTTTTTTGTTTTTTTTTTGAGACAGAGTCTGACTCTGTTGGCCAGGCTGGAGTGCAGTGGCGCGATCTCAGCAACTTTTTTCAAAACTGGGAGTGCTATGCCATGGAGTGGATTTTTGGTTCCCAGTGAATGAGACAGGGAGTGGAAGAAGAGTTATTCTACTGAGGGAAGGGAACACACATATTGAAAAGAGACACAGCAGGAGGAAGGAGGAAGGGAGGGGAGCTGCTTGGAGCAGAATAAGCAGAGCTGTGGGCAAGGAAAGGCCGGTACTGGCCAGTGCAGGCACTGAGCGGAAGGATGAAAGGGATGTGGGAAGAACATCACGCCATAAATCCCCAAATTCCAGCACCTGGAGACGTGGGCCCCAGGAGCCTGGATATCCCCTCACAGGCGGGAGCTGGGGCTGGCGGGGCTCAGGCTCAAGCAGGGAGTCTGGACACGGGGGGCATGGATGTGCACACGGAAGGCCACAGCACTAGGTGCGGAACTTTAGGGAGAACCAGAGATACAGGGTCGCCCCGTCCCTGCCTTCCGGGGACCTTCCATCTCATAGGTGCATTTGTTATCTCTTTTCCATCTCTCCACAGTTCCTAGTTCCTGGAAGGGTATTCTGCATAGAATGCGAACACTGCAATTATTGACTAATAAGTGAAGAAATGAAGCATTTTACATTCAGAGTTTTGTTTTGTTTTGTTTTGTTTTTACCAAAAAGTGCAGTTTTTGAATGGATCTAGAGTTTCTGTTTTTCAAGATGAAAAAGCTCTGGAGATTGGTTGTACAACTATGTGAACACCCTTGACACTGATGAACTGTACACTTAAAAATAGTTAAGATGGAGGCCGGGTCTGGTGGCTCACACCTGTAATCCCAGCACTTTGCAAGGCTGAAGGGTGGATTGCTAGAGCTCAGGAGTTCAAGACCAGCCTGAGCAACATGGCAAAAACCCGTCTCTACAAAAAATACAAAAATTAGCCGGGCATGGGTTGCACGCACCTGTGATCCCAGCTACTTGGGAGGCTGAGGTAGGAGGATCACTGGAGCCTGGGAAGTCAAGGCTCCAGCGATCCTCACACCTCAGCCTCCCAAGTGAGGGAAGTCAAGTGAGTCGTGATTGTGCCTCTGCACTCCAGCCTAGGTGACAGGGAGACCCTGTCTCAAAAAAAAAATTGTTAAGATGGTAAATTTTATGTGTAGTTTACCACAATTAAAAATAAAAAAACAATGTTCTATCTCACATATAAAACTCTGCATCTTTGTCTTTTTAAAAGGTAACAATACAGACAAAATAGGAAACGAAAATCTAATTTTCCAGTATTAATGTTCACACTGAAGTCAATGGGAGGTATTCTATTTTTGGGTTTTTTTCCTCCCTAGAAAGTAAGTACATACTTAGTAACTTTAGATGTTTGAAAAACGGGAGGGGTTGAGAAAAAGAAATACATAATAAGTGACGCACACTGTAAAATTTTCTTGCATTTGATTAACACATACATAGACTTTTGGATCTGAGTTTTTTTCAGGGACACATTTGTTTACAATTAAAATGTGGATTTTATCTCTTTTATTCATCTTGAATTCAGTCATGTTCCTGAGCAGTCATCAAAGCATTCTTACATCCAGCCTGGGCTTCTCTCCCTGAAAATGTTGTTTATTGGAAAAGAAAAAGGAAGTTGCCTTGAGTCAGCTAACCTTGGCCATTGCACTGCTTTCACTAGAGCTGTTTTTATTTAATGTGTCTATAAAGCTTTGCTCCGTTCGTAATATTTTAGCCTCTGTCTCCCTGAATTCATCAAACCAGTCCCATTTTAATCCCAGTTACAAGTAGAGGGGCACCCTCTCAGTCTAATACCTGGTGTGGATGACAAGTCTTGGGAACTTGCTGGAATTGTTGGGAGATATGTCACTGTTTAGTAATGTACATGCTTGTGAATATTAGGTGCAGTGAGAATTCAGGTTCAATTCATCATGTTCTTTGTCCCAGTTGTGTCCTGCAATTAGTGTTTCTTTTTTTTTTGAGACAAGGTCTCACTCTGTCGCCCAGGCTGGAGTGCAGTGGCACGATCACAGCTCACTGCAACCTTAACTCCCAGGCTCAGGTGATTCTCTCACCTCAGCCTCTCAAGTACATGGGACTACAAGCACACACCACTATACCCAGCTAATTTTTGTATTTTTTGTAGAGATGAGGTTTCACCATGTTGCCCAGGCTGGTCTTGAACTCCTGGGCTCAAGCAGTCCACCCACTTCAGCCTCCCAGAGTGCCGGGATTACAGGTGTGAGTCACTGCACTGGGCCACAATTAGTATTTGTGATGTTAGAAACTAAAAGTGCTGGTAAGCCTTGGAAAGAAAAATCCTGTGGTCTCTGAGAGCTTCAAATTTAATCTTGGCCTCATTACCTAATCACATCAGAAGAAGAGAATCTGTGAAAAATGGAAGTGATCAAAGGACGATGGGTTCCCAGGAGAAGGGAATCTCATGGCTTCCAATCTATTCACAGCTTTGACCTGCAGACTTTAGATATGGGAGGAATAGACTAAAAACAAAC
This sequence comes from Homo sapiens, assembly GCF_000001405.40. NCBI lineage: Eukaryota > Metazoa > Chordata > Mammalia > Primates > Hominidae > Homo > Homo sapiens. The sequence continues at coordinate 5,013,713 of NC_000006.12, forward strand.
TTTGTCATTGTTGTTATTGCCTTGGAGACGGGGTCTCACTCTATCACTCAGGCTGGGGTGCAGTCTCAGTTCACTGCAACCTCTGCTCCCCAGGTTCAAGTGATCCTTCAACATCAGCCTCCTGAGTAGCTGGGACTACAGGTGTGTGCCACCACACCTGGCTAATTTTTGTACTTTTTGTAGAGACTGGGTCTCGCTATGTTTCCCAGGCTGGTCTTGAACTCCTGGACTCAAGTGATCATCCACCTTGGCCTCCCAAAGTGCTGGGATTACAGGCATGAGCCACTGCATCTGGAAAAGCAAATTTCTTATTTTGCAATTTGGCCTTGGGGCCTGAGTGGCCAAGCTATGATTGTCTGTTTCCTCTTTGGAGTGGGGAAATGTGTGAGCTGAAGCACCAGTCACATACACACATGTCTATATGCATTTCTGTACAACCCAAGAGATCCAACTTTAGTAAGAGGGAAAGGAAATCAGAACATAGAGGGGGCCTGCTGTTTACCAGTAACTTGTAATCAACATGTCATTGAGTCCCATCTGCAATGGGTGTGTGTATGAGTTAGCTATTGCTACATAACAAACCATCCCAGAACTTAATTAGCTCATAATTGAGCTGGTTAGCAATTTAGGCTGGGCTCAGCTGGGCCATTCTTCTGGTCTCAACTCAGCTCTATGTGTGTGGTGTGTGTATGTGTGTATGTTTAGCTCTGCTTCTGGGGGTGAGCTGGCTGTCAACTGGGGTACCTTGGTTCTCCTGCTTATGGTATCTCTTCCTCCAGCAGGCTAACATGGGCTTGTTTTCATGGAGATGGCGGGGTTCTGAAAGAAAAAACAGAAGCATTCAAGATCTTTGAGCCTAACCCTGAAACTGGCACACTGTCATACTCTCTGCATTCTGTTGGCCAGAGTAAATAAGGCAACCCAGATACAAGACTGGGGGAAACAAATTCTGTCTGTTTATGGGAGCAGCTATAAAATCTCATTGCAAAGGGCATAGATAGGGAAGTATGAAGAATTGCTATTATTTTTTCAATCAGTATCATTATGCCTTTTCTTGCAGGTGAGATTTACCTAATAGTTCCAGATCAAATTCAAAACCTTGAAGTTACTAAGTGACTAGACTGTGACTCAGTAGTATCAACTATACTTGACTCCAAAGCCCAGACACCTGTATAGACCATAGTACTCATGCATCTCCCCTAGGCCTTCAAGATTCTGGAGAGTGACACTTCCGTAAATGCCCATCTAGGGCTCTTCACTTATACCCATTGGGTATAATTCCCTCCAGAGAAAGCTGAACTGTCTTGGAAGAACTTAAAATAACTTAGGGAAACAGCTGAGGGCTGAGTTTAGGAATCAAGGCTCCAGCAATATATTTTTTATTTCTAATTATAGGGGAAATTTGAAAACATATATAATGCACTCCATATGTTTGCAAATTCTTTTCATCCATTTTTGGTATTTGTAGGCTATTTATGATTTTCAAAGCAAGCTAAATCAAACTGTGCCTGAAACAACCTCTTACTCTGAAAAGCAAGCAACATAAAGATAGATCTGCTGAGAAGACATTTCCACCTGCTGCAGTTTAGCCAAACAGCTGACTGTGTATTGAAGCAGTCCTTTGATTTTAACAGGGCAAAGCTGTATCCAAGACCCCAAACTGAGGAACTGCCATGGGGCACACATGAAAATCACACACAGCTAATGTATCTCTCACCCTGAACCAGTGATCCATATCCATGGCTGCACATTAAAATCACCTGGGGAGCTTTTAAAATTCCCAAAACCCAAACTACAACAGACCTGTTAAATTGGATTCCCTGGAGTGGGACCCAGGCAGCAGTGTTGTTTAAAGCTCTCCATGTGATTATATTGTGTGGTCAAGGCTGCAAACCCACTGCTTTAAACCAGTATCTTTTGATGACCTAGTTGCAAATAATTTCTCAAATAAATGTAAAATGTTTGCTGCTGAATTGTAGGCTTTCCGTCTTATTTGTGGTACCTACTTACTATCTTTGCACAAACCGATCTCTACTGCTTGTTTTATTCCTGGATCAACCCCATTCCATGGGTTTTGAGGGCATTTTATGTGCAGGACAGTGTGCTAGGTGCCATGGCCTTGGTGAGCATCATTGTTGGGGGAGGACTTTGCTGGGGAAAAAAAAAATGTATTATAAAAACTCAAAACCATGCCATTTAGCGAACTGAGGCAAAAATGCAAATATCTGGGTGGTCGCCTGAGAGAACATGAATAGATATCTTGGAATTTTAAAATCCATGTGATGACACCATAAGTGAATGTATTCCACTTTTTAAAAAATGCTGCTGTTATTCTCAGATACTGAGTTAGGATTTTTGTGTCAGCATGACGCTGCCTGGCCTCATCACTTGGGTTTGGAAGTGCTCTCTTCAATTTTTTAAAAGAGTTTGAAGAAGATCGGTGTTCTCCATTAAAGGTTTGGTAGAATTCACCAGTGAAGCCAACGGGTTCAGGGCTGTTTGTTTTTGGTCAGGAGGTTTTTGATTACCGATTCAGTCCCCTTAATGATGGATCTATTCAGATTTTGTATTTCTTTGCAATTCAGTATTTTGTGTCTCTAGGAATTTGCCCATTTTATCTAGGTTGTCCAGTTTGTTGGCATATAGTTGTTGACAGTGCACCCTTATAATCCTTTTTATTTCTCTAGAATTGATAGTCATGTCCCCACTTTAATTTTGATTTTAGTAACTTGTTTCTTCTGTCCTTTTTTCTTAGTCAAACTAAAGGTTTGTCAATTTTGTTAATCTTCTTGAAGAACTGACTCTTGGGTTTGTTGATTTTCTTGTGTTTTTCTATTCTCCATTATTTATCTCTGCTCTAATCTTTACTATTTCCTCCTTCTAACTTTGGATGTAGTTCTTTTTCTCATTTCTTAAGTTGTAAAGTTTGGTTGTTGATTTGAAATCTTTCTTCCTTTTTAATGTAATACAGCTATAAATTTCCCGCTTAGGATTGCTTTCAAAGTGTCTCATAAGTTTTAGTATGCTGTCTTCATTTTCACTGGTCTCTAGTACTTTCTAATTTCCCTTGATTTCTTCTTTGACCTGTGGTTGTTTATGAATGTATTGCTTAATTTTTTTAGTTTTCCTTCTATTATTGATTTCTAACTTCATCCTGTTGTGGTCAGGGAATATACTATGTATGACATCTATTATTTTTTTCCCCAACACAGGGTCTCACTCTGTCACCCAGGCTGGAGTGCAGTGGCCCAACCTTGGCTCAACACAACCTCCACCTCCTGGGTTCAAGCAATTCTTCTTCTTGCCTCAGCCTCCCAAGTAGCTGGAATTATGGGTGGCCATCACCATGCCCAGCTAATTTTAGTAGAGACAGAGTTTCACCATGTTGGCCAGGCTGGTCTCGAACTCCTGACCTCAGGTGATCCACCTGCCTTGGCCTCCCAAAGTGCTGGGATTACAGGCATGAGCCACCACGCCCAGCCTCAGTTTTCATTTATAGTTTTGCCCCTAGTCTTTGGAGTAGATTCCTCCCTTCCATGAGCCAGAGAACTCACTAAGTCCATTGCACTATGAACTCACAGAGAATTCACTGCGCATATTCCACAGTGAACTCACAAAGAACTCACTGTGTCCATTGCACTGTAAACTCACAGAGAACTCACTATGTCCATTGCACTTTGAACTTGCAGAGAACTCACTATGTACATTGCACTGTGAACTCATGGAGAACTCACTATGCCCACTGCAGTATCTAAATGTAAAGGTTGCAGCTATGGGTCAAAAAACCAGCTCCTAGAATCTTTAATTTTTTGAAGGATTTTTCATGTCTCTATCTCCTTCAGTTCTGCTCTAACCTTAGTTATTTCTTGTCTTCTGCTAGCTTTTGAATTTGTTTGCTGTTACTTCTCTAGTTCTTTTAATTGTGATGTTAGGGTGTCGATTTTAGATCTTTCCTGCTTTCTCTTGTGGGCATTTAGTGCTATAAATTACTCTCTACACACTGCTTTAAATGTGTCCCAGAGATTCTGGTACATTGTGTCTTTGTTCTCATTGGTTTCCAAAAACATTTATTTCTGCCTTCATTTCGTTATTTACCCAGTAGTCATTCAGGAGCAGGTTGTTCAATTTCCATGTAGTTGTGCGGTTTTTAGTGAGTTTCTTAATTCTGATTTCTAATTTGGTTGTACTGTGGTCTGCGAGACAGTTTGTTGTGATGTCTGCTCTTTTACGTTTGCTGAGGAGTGCTTTACTTCCAATTAAGTGGTCAATTTTAGAATAAGTGCGATATGGTGCTGAGAAGAATGTATATTCTGTTGATTTGGGGTGGAGAGTTCTGTAGATGTCTGTTAGGTCCGCTTGGTCCAGAGCTGAGTTCAAGTCCTGGATATCCTTGTTAATTTTCTGTCTCACTGATCTGTCTAATATTGACAGTGGGGTATCAAAGTCTCCCAATATTATTCTGTGGGAGTCTAAGTCTCTTTGTAGGTCTCTAAGTACTTGCTTTATGAATCTGAGTGCTCCTGTATGGGGTGCATATATATTTAGGATAGTTAGCTCTTCTTGTTGCATTGATCCCTTTACCATTATGTAATGCCCTTCTTTTTCTCTTTTGGTCTTTGTTGGTTTAAAGTCTGTTTTATCAGAGACTAGGATTGCAACCCCTGCTTTTTTTTTTTTTTTTTTTTCCATTTGCTTTGTAGATCTTCCTCCATCCCTTTATTTTGACCCTATGTGTGTTTTTTCACGTGAAGTGGGTCTCCTGAATACAGCACACTGATGCAGTCTGTGTCTTTTAATTGGGGCATTTAGACCAATTACATTTAAGGTTAAGATTGTTATGTGTGAATTTGATCCTGTCATTATGATGTTAGCTGGTTATTTTGCCCATTAGTTGATGCAGTTTCTTCATAATGTTGATGGTCTTTAAAATTCGGCATGTTTTTGCAGTGACTGGTACCAGTTGTTCATTTCCATGTTTAGTGCTTCCTTCAGGAGCTCTTGTAAGGCAGGCCTAATGGTGACAAAATCTCTCAGCATTTGCTTATCTGTAAAGGATTTTATTTCTCCTTCACTTATGAAGCTTAGTTTGGCTGGATATGAAATTCTAGGTTGAAAATTCTTTTCTTTAAGAATGTTGAGTATTGGCTCTCACTCTCTTCTGGCTTGTAGGGTTTCTGTAGAGAGATCTGCTGTTAGTCTGATGGGCTTCCCTTTGTGAGTAACCCGACCTTTCTCCCTGGCTGCCCTTAACATTTTTTCCTTCATTTCAACTTTGTTGAATCTGATGATTATGTGTCTTGGGGTTGCTCTTCTCGAGGAGTATCTTTATGGTGTTCTCTGTATTTCCTGAATTTGAATATTGGCCTGCCTTGCTAGGTTGGGTAAGTTCTCCTGGATAATATCCTGAAGAGTGTTTTCCAACTTGGTCCATTCTCCCCATCACTTTCAGGTACACCAATCAAATGTAGATTTGGTCTTTTCACCTAGTCCCATATTTCTTGGAGGCTTTGTTCATTTCTTCTCACTCTGTTTTTCTCTGATCTTGTCTTCTTGCTTTATTTCATTAAGTCAATCTTCAGTCACTGATATCCTTTCTTCCACATGATTGATTTGGCTATTGAAGCTTTTGTATGCTTCACGAAATTCTCGTGTTGTGTTTTTCAGCTCCATCAGGTCATTTATAGTCTTCTCTACACTGCTTATTCTAGTTAGCAATTCATCTAACCTTTTTTCAAGGTTCTTAGCTTCCTTGTGGTGGGTTAGAATATGCCCCTTTAGCTCAGAGGAGTCTGTTATTACCGACCTTCTGTAGCCTACTTCTGTCAATTCTTCCACCTCATTCTCCCTCCAGTTTTGTTCCCTTGCTGCCGAGGAGTTGTGATCCTTTGGAGGAGGAGAGGCATTCTGCTTTTTGGAATTTTCAGCCTTTCTGCGCTGGTTTCTCCCCATGTTTGTGGTTTTATCTACTTTTGGTCTTTGATTTGGTGACCTACAGATGGGGTTTTGGTGTGGATGTCTTTTTTGTTGATGTTGATGCTATTCCTTTCGTTTGTTAGTTTTTCTTCTAACAGTCAGACCTCTCAGCTGCAGGTCTGTTGGAGTTTGCTCCACTCCAGACCCTGTTTTCCTGGGTATCACCAGTGGAGGCTGCAGAACAACAAAGTTTGCTGCCTGATCCTTCATCTGGAAGCTTCATCCGAGAGGGGCACCCACCAGTTGCCAGCCAGAGCTCTCCTGTATGAGGTGTCCGTTGGCCCCTATTGGGAGGTGTCTCCCAGTCAGGCTACACGAGGGTCAGTGACCCACTTGAGGAGGCAGTCTGTCCATTATCAGAGCTCGAATGCTGTGCTGGGAGAACCACTTCTCTCTCCAGAGCTGTCAGCCAGGGACGTTTAAGTCCCTGAAGCTGTGCCCACAGCTGCCCCTTCCCCTAGGTGCTCTGTCCCAGGGAGATGGGGGCTTTATCTGTAAGTCCCTGACTGTGGCTGCTGCCTTCTGTTCAGAGATGCCCTGCCCAGAGATGTGGAATCTAGAGAGGCCGTTGGCCTTGCTGAGCACAGTGGGCTCTGCCTGGTTTGAATTTCTCAGAAGCTTTGTTTACACTGTGAGCAAAAAACCGTCTACAAGCCTCAGCAATGGTGGATGCCCCTCCCCGCTCCAAGCTCCAACATCCCAGGTTGATCTCAGATTGCTGCACTAGCAGCGAGAATTTCAAGCCAATTGATCGTAGCTTGTTGGGCTCCGTGGGCGTGGGACACACCAAGCCAGGCACCAGAGGGAATCTCCTGGTCTGCCGGTTGCAAAGACCATGGGAAAAGCACAGTATCTGGGCAGTAGTGTACTGTTCCTCCCAGTACATTCTCTCACGGCTTCCCTTGGTTAGGAAAGGGAAATCCCCCAACTCCTTGCGCTTCCTGGGTGAGGTGACACCTCGCCCTGCTTTGGCTCACCCTCCACGGGCTGCACCCACTGTCCAACCAGTCCCATTGAGATGAACCAGGTACCTCAGGTGGAAATGCAGAAAACACCCATCTTCTTTGTTGATCTTGCTGGAAGCTGCAGGCTGGAGCTGTTCCTATTCAGATATCTTGCCAGGAATCCCCATCAGTCTCCTTTAATTTAGCTATTCTGGAGGATGTGTGGTGATATCTCATTGATTTTCATTTGCATTTACATGATTATTGAGGAAATTGAACACATTTGGAGATGATTTTTAATAAATTATCTATTCAGCCTTCTACTCATTTTTCTATTATTTGTCTTTTTCTTATTGTTTATAGGAGTTCTCTACACATTCTGGTTGTGATTCCTTTGTCTGTTACCTGTATGTATATATTTTCTCCCACTCTAAAACTTGCCTCTTCACTTTCTTAATGGTCTTTTGATAAATAAAAATTATTAATTTGAATGCGGTCTAATTTATCAATCTCTTTCTTTATAGCTATTGGTTTTTGTTATCTGTTTAAAAAATATTTCCCTACTCAAAGTTATAAAAATAATTTATTTTATTTTTTAATATTTATGTTTAAAGCCACATTCCTTCTGAAATTGATTTTTGTGGGTGGTTTAGGATGTGTTTCAAGATTTTCTTTTTACACATGGCTATCTAATTGATCTGTCAGCATTAATTTCTTAAATATATTTTTAATTTTTTTGTATTTTTTGTAGAGATGGGGTCTTGCTGTGTTGCCCAGACTGGTCTCAAACTCCTGAGCTCAAGTGATCCACCCACCGTGGCCTCCCAAAGTGCTGAGATTAAAGGTATGAGCCACCGTGTCTAGCTACTTGTATTTTTGTACCCATTAGTCAACCTCTCTTCACCCTCCCTCCTTCTCACTACCCTTCCTGGCCTCGTAACTACTGGATAGAGTATATCTTCATGAGATCCACTTTCTTCAGTTTCACGTGACTGAGAACATGCAGTATTTGATTTTCTGTTTCTGAGTTATTTCACTTGGGATAACAGCCTCCAGCTCCATCCACATTACATTACTGCAAATGACAAGATTTCATTTCTTTCTATGGCTGTATAATATTCTGGTGTGTGTGTGTGTGTGTGTGTGTGTGTATCACGTTTTTTTTCTTCATTCATCTGTTGATGGGCACAATCTCGGCTCACTGCAACCTCTACCTCCCGGGTTTAAGCAATTCTCCTGCCTCACCCTCCTGATTAGCTAGGACTACAGGCGTGTGCCACCATGCCCAGATATTTTCTGTATTTTTGGTAGAGACAGCATTTTGCCATGTTGGCCAGGCTGGTCTCAAACTCCTGGCCTCAAGTGATCTGCTCGTCTCAGCCTCCCAAAGTGCCGGGATTACAGATGTGAGCCACTGCACCTGGCCAAATTTTGGCGATCATGAAGAGTACTGCACTAGACGTGGAGTGCAGAATCTCTTCCATATATTGATTTCCTTTCTTTTAGGTAGATACTACATACGTTTTAATCCCTGTCTTAACTTACGTAAGGCTATATTAACTATTTTAACTGTGGATCTGTGGGATCCCATTTTGTTATTTTTATTTTTTATTTATTTATTTATTTTTTTGAGAGGGAGTCTCCGTCTATTGCCCTGGCTGGAGTGCAGTGGTGCGATCTCGGCTTGCTGCAACCTCTGTCTCTTGGGTTCAAGCCATTCTCCTGCCTCAACCTCCCAAGTAGCTGGGATTATAGTTCAGGCAGCCACCATGACGCCTGGCTATTTTTTGTATTTTTAGTAGAGAAGGGGTTTCGTCATGTTGGCCAGACTGGTCCTGAACTCCTGACCTCAGGTGATCTGCCTGCCTCGGCCTCCCAAAGTGTTAGGATTACAAGTGCGAGCTACCGTGCGCAGCCGCTGGGATCCCATTTTAATCAAGCCAATTTGTAAGTGCCAAAAATTTGACTTTTTAAATTTATTATTCATTGTGTTAGCACATCTGTTCCTAATATCAGATATTTTAGGGCAATGGCTACTATGACTATGGGATAGTTAGGCAAGAGTATAAAGTGTGCCACACCTATATTTCCTCTATTTTATATTTGCTTTCCTAAGATTATCGGGAGTACAGTGTTTAAACTTAGTGGCATCTCAAAGTATAATTTGAGCTTCTGCATTGATTAAGTCTACGAATTGGAAATTTTTGGATTTCCAATTGGGTTAAATTGTGGACCTTTGTATATGTAAATACATATAAATTTTAAAATTTAAAAATATTATAGACACGTTATTTATTTAGCTCTTATTTTTTTCCCCCATATCTGGGTTGCTTTTTCCTCCTTGGGCTTCAAAGACTCCCACTCCACCTCCCACAGATTGAGGTTTGCAGTTAAAGAGTAATCGCAGTCTCTCCCGCGATTTAGATCCAAGAGCACATTTAGAAGCCCCTGTCTAACCATGTGTAACAATGCACTTAGACCCCTTGCCTGAAGTATCAGTCCTTTTTCATTGTCTATCTGGGCAAAATCGTTTATTTATCTATTTATTTACTTATTTATTTTTAAAATGGGGTCTGGCTCTTGTTGCCCAGGCTGGAGTGCAGTGGTGCCATCTCAGCTCACTGCAACCTCCACCTCTCAGGCTCAAGCCATCCTCCCCTGTCAGTCTTCCAAGTAGCTGGGACTACAGGCACATGCCATTACACCCTGCTGACTTTTGTACCAATTTTTGTATTTTGGGTAGAGACAGGGTTTCGCCATGTTGCCCAGGCTGGTCTCTAACTCCTGCGCTCCAGCGATCAGCCGGCCTTGGCCTCCCAAAGTGCTGGGATTACAGAGCCACCACGTGCAGCATGGCAAAATCGTTCAGAATGCCTTATATCTCTAGGTGGGAAAGAAAAAATTTTCTGTCTCCTGTGTCCAGCCCTTTTTACCTTTCAGTGTTTACTGGATAAACTCTGGTGGTTCCGAGTGGAGTGGCCCTGCCTGTAGGCAGTGGTCTTCTTTTCCAGAGTGTCCCAAGCAACCTTGCCAGGGTGGGGTCAGCATCTAGCCGGGCTACTGTGGCCTTGCCCCAATTTTCTAGGCTACAGGCCCTTGTTGAGTTCACAGGCAGCAGTGCTCAATAAAGTCTGGGCACACTGCTGGATGCTCTGCACTCCTAAATCAACTGCATGACCCGCTCTGGGGTTTTAAAAGGGGCCAGAAGGAAATGCTGCTTGCTCTTTTTCCTTAGACGTCATACCATGGGTCTCCAACGATGGGATCTCATATCACAGTCACGGATGAATATAGACAGCAACAACATGAGACTAGGTCCAGAACAGCACCTTGGTGGGGGCCGTGGCCCAAGGTGGATGCCACACACTAACTCCGTGTGGGGCTGGAAGCATGTGAACAGCTCCAAAACACATCCTCCCTCCACTGAACATGGTGGCCTGAAATGTCCAGAGCAAGGCGTGTCAGGCACGTGCTTGCAGGGTGCATGTGAAAGCATCAAGTTCACAGACTGCCAATGAGGGCCACACACCCCAGCCCTGATAGCTCCCTCTGCGCCCAGAGCCATGCTGGGGTGCAGCGTGTGGACTCCATGCCCTGATTTACTTTCGGTGTGGTTGGGTGGGTGACAAACGGGATTGTTTCAATCCTTTAGCCACTTTCCCTTGATTTCTCACAAGCCCCAAATATGGGTGGTGCCGATCCAGAGACACCTCCAGCCTTCTCAGACTTGGGGCTGGGCTGTCCCATGCTGGCTCTGATTGGCAGCATAGGCCATTTACCGGCCAAAGGCCCCTTTGAAGGAAACAGTACAGTGAGCGCCCTCGGCCTGCTACACACAGAGGCTCTGGAGGAGAGAGGGAGGAAGTCCTTAAGCCAGGGTCTTTGCTCCCAGGTTCTGGGGTTCCTGATCTGCCAGAAGGAGAAAAGGCAGAGGTGGGTATGGGGCTGAGGCAAAGCTTCACAGGGAGGTGCAATAAACATGCTCCCCTTGGGCAGAGCCCCACAAAGGTCAAACAAGGGAGGGACAAAAAAACTGTATATATTTACCTTTGAACAGTTTTCTTCCTCCCTGCTCCTCTGGTCACCTCCAACTTTCTTGCTAGATCAATTCCTGGTTTCTGGGATATAATTTGCGCAGAACCCAGGTGCTAGGAAAATTTTTTTAAAAAGAAAATTATAGCATCCAGAAAGGTTAAATGGATGATAGAATAGAGATAGGCAGAGGCTAGGTGTGTTGGCTCGTACCTGCAATCCCAGCACTCTGGGAGGCCGAGGTGGGAGGATTGCTTGAGCTCAGGAGTTTGAGACCAGCCTGGGCAACACAGCAAGACCCCTGTCTCTACAAAAATAAAAAGATTAGCCATGTGGGTGGTGCATGCCTGTAGTCCCAGCTACTCAGGAGGCTGAGGTGGGAGGATCACTTGAGCCCAGGAGTTCGAGGATACAGTGAGCCATGATTGTGCCACTGCACTCCAGCCTGAGTGATAGAGTGAGACCCTGTCTCTATAAAGAGAGAGAGAGAGAGAGAGTGAGAGAGAAGCAGAGAATGGAGAATGAAGGAGAGAGAGGAGAGAGAGGGGTCTTGCGGGCTGGGTCTTAGACAGTTGAGGGTGTCAGAGGCAGGGTCTTCAGGAGGCTGAAAGGTGGTGGTAAGGGAGTGTGGGGGGCGGGGGAGATCAAGAGACATAATTTTTAATAGATGTTTTGCTGTGTCTTAAGAACAAATGTTTCTTCTTAGCATTACCTCAAAGGACTACATAAAGGTTTGGACTGCTTTCAGTCTTACTTTATGTCAGGCTAGTATTTTTTGGAAGGTGACACTAGGCAAGGATGGGCCATATTGGGGTTCCATGTTTATATGGGTAACATTGCACTAAGACTTGTGTTTTCATAAACAACAGTCAGTGAGGATTTTGCTGCCACCCAATTTTTATAGAAGAGCAGAAGCACTCCTGCCTTCATGTTGTGGAAGATAGAGAAGGTGGGTGTGGGATCTAAGGACAGCAATCCTGACTTCACCTTCTTCCCCAAGGGCGGGGTCAGAAGCCCAGATCTTCCTGTTCTGATCTCAGTCTTGGAGGTAAATCAGGTACCTCGGGCTTTTCTTCTGAAGAAACATCCACACAATGCCAAACAAACTGGGGGACATCGAGCGATTTGGCCTACAAGAGTTGCAGAATAACCGAAGAGGGGGTTGGCTCTCGGTCTCTGCTTTATTCCACGGCTTTGTTTCCACTCACTTGTAACTGAGGATTGGCGGTTTCAGACCCCGCACAAAAGTCTTTGTGAGTTTTCTCAGCCGCAGACACTTGGGCCTCTTTGTTTTGGATGGCAATGTCACACCGAATGCAAATTCGAGGAGGTTCTTTGCTGAATGCAGGACAGGAGGCCTGTGCAGGAGACAATGGGAGTGAAGAGGGAAACCTGCCGGCGTACAGACAGTTAAGGCAGCCAGGAAGCCGCGCGCTCCGTGGAAAACCTCTGTTGAAAGCCCCTTCAGTAGTTTAAAGTCTAAAGAGTAGCTGCTGCTACTTTTGATTTCTTCCTTAAAGAGGATCAATTAGAGCCCTCCGATCGCGTCCCCAAAGGTCCTGGTCTGTGCCTGCTGAGTCAGGAGAGGCCGACAGCGCTCCCTCCTGCGACCGAGGCACTTCTCCTTAATTGGTTTGAAAAATTGCAGCTGGATCCCGACAGCCGCTGCTCCCGGGGTGGGTGCGGAGGGAGGGAGCGAGGAGGGAGGGGGACAGCTTAGCCTCCCGCCTCCCAGAGCCTCTCCTGAGGCTCCCACCCAGCGCCTTTCTTTCCTTCCTCCCTTCGTTTATTTCTGGGACCCCTCCCCACAAACTTTCTTTAAAGCCTGGTCACGTGAGGTCTCCTCTGAGGTTTTGCTCTCTGCGGGTCTGGACGGAGTTTCTGGAGGCAGCACTTCCCGAGTCGCTAGAGAGTCACTTTCCTGGTCTCTGCCCCGCCGGAGCAGGTGACTCTGCTGTTTCTGCCTTTGTTAGCCCATGTCTTGTTTTCTCTCCAGCATTCATTCTGTGCCCTGGTGTCCCGGAGCGCTGAGCCTGCCCTGGTGACTCCATAGGCTTCCTGGGGAAGGCAGAGCCACTGCCATGTGTCCATGGGTCCCCGGGAGAGGCAGTGGACAGCAACTCCTGGCTTCTGGCCTGGAGAAGAAGGAGCTGCGTTTGGCTTAGCCTGGGTTTCCTCCTCTATAAATGAAGGGGGCTGTATTAAATTAATCTGTTCTCAGATCCCCTTTTCTTTTTATATATTTATTTTTATTTTGTTTTGTTTTGTTTTGTTTTGTTTTACTTTCTGAGATGGAGTCTCACTCTGTCACCCAGGCTGGAGTGCAGTGGCGCTATCTCAGCTCACTGCAACCTCCACCTCCTGGGTTCAAGTGATTCTCCTGCCTCAGCCTCCGAGTAGCTGGGATTACAGGCGCCTGCCACCATGCCTGGCTAATTTTTGTATTTGTATTTTTATTTATTTATTTTACTATTATTATTATTTTGAGATGGAGTCTCACTCTGTTGCCCAGGCTGGAGTGCAGTGGCACAATCCTGGCTCACTGCAACCTCTGCCTCCTGGGTTCAAGCGATTCTCTTGCCTCAGCCTCCTGAGTAGCTGGGATTACAGGTGCTTGCCACCACGCCTGCCTAATTTTTTATAATTTTTGATAGAGTCAGTGTTTCCCCATGTTGGCCAGGCTGGTCTTGAACTCCTGACCTCAAGTGATCTGTCCACCTTGGCCTCCCAGAGTGCTGAGATTACAGACGTGAGCCAACGCACCTGGCCTAATTTTTGTATTTTTAGTAGAGACGGAGTTTCCCCATGTTGGCCAGGCTGGTCTTGAACTCCTGACCTCAGGTGATCCACTGACTCGGCCTCCCAAAGTGCTGAGATTACAGGTGTGAGCCACCACATCAGCTCAGATCCCTTTTTCTTTCTGCTGATAAAAATTCTGTTCAAACAAAACTGCCAGGAAACACACCCACAGAGCCCTGGAACTCAGCGCCACTCCTTGGTTCCCAGCTCTGACAGGTCCCCAGCAGCACAAAGCTGCCCAGGGCACAGCTGGAAAGCCAGCCAGGCTGGGTGCTCCCCAAGGCCCTCTCAGCTCTCACCTTCAGGGGTCTTGTGCCATGGAGTTTTCAGGAGGGGCCCTGGAGACAACAGGACCGGTGGCACCGCAGCCTTTCCCTTTCAGGGTGCTTAAGTGCCCCGGGCTGGTGGAGGGCTGGGCACAGGAGAGAGGCAAGTGGCAACAGCGTTTATGCTACGGAGGACTGTAGCCCCACTGTACCCTAAAGCGAGCTGGGGGAAACAGACGGGTGTTCCCAGCCCCATCTCCAACTCCCCTCCCCCATCCCCCAGAGACGGGGTTGAAGAGGAAGGCCAGATGAAGCTTTGGCCATTTTTTTCTCAGTGCAATGGAAAGTTATGGAAAGATTTTACATACAGGGTTCAGCATGATACAACTTACACATTTAAAAGATTTACATGTTTAAAAAAACTAGACTAGGCTGGGTGCAGTGGCTCACGCCTATAATCCCAGCACTTTGGGAGGCCGAGGCAGGCGGATCACTTGGGTTCAGGAGTTCGAGACCAGCCTGCCCAACATGGGGAAACCTCATCTCTACTAATAATACAAAAATTAGCCGGGTGTGGTGCTGCGCGCCTATAGTCCCAGCTAGTCGGGAGGCTGAGACGGGAGAATTGCTTGACCCGGGAGGCAGAGGTTGCAGTGAGCCGAGATCACACCACTGCACTCTAGCCTGGGAGACAGAGTGAGACTCTTTGTCTCAATAAATGAATGAATGAATGAATGAATGAATAGCCTGGGAGACAGAGTGAGACTCTGTCTCAATAAATGAATGAATGAATGAATGAATGAATAAATAAATAAATTTGACTAAAAGGTTGGAGAGTGGGTTGAGAGGATAAGTCTGGAGGCAGGAAAAACTGAGGAATGTATTCACCAATCTTATGAAGAGATGAAGGCGTACCCAAGAGAAGTGAAACCATATGTCCACACAAACACTTGAGCAAGAGTTGCTATAGGTTGAAGGTGTGTGTCTCCCCCAAATTCCTATGTTGAAATCCTCACCCCCAAGGTGATGGTATTTGGAGGCGGGGCCTTCGTGAGGTGACTGGGTCATAAGAATGGAGCCCTCATGAATGGGATTACTGCCATATAAAAGAGGACCCAGAGCATTCATTGGCCCCTTCTGCCATATGAGGACATAGTGAGAAGGTGCCATTATGGGCCAGGAAACAAGTCCTCAGCACACACCAAATCTGCTGGTACCTTTTCTTGAACCTGCAGCCTCCAGAATGGTGAGAAATGAATTTCTGTTGTTTGTGAGCCACCCAGCTGTGGTATTTTCCTATAGCAGCCCAAATGGATTAACACAGGAATGCGCATAGTCACACTACTCATAATCCCCCCGAAGTGGACACAACCCTGATGTCCACGGGCAGACAAAAGCATACTGTTATGTACCCGTGAATGGATAAACAAAAGCACTATATCCATACAAGAGGATATTGTCCGGCCATAAGAAGGAATAAAGTGATGATACTGATGTGTGCTACAACATGGAAACCTTTCAACAAACTTGAAAACATGCTGATTGAAAGAAGCCAGTGACAAAAGACCACATATTGTTGGATTCCATTTACATGAAATGTCCAGAACAGAGACACCTATAGAGACAAAAAGGAGATTTGTGGTTGCCAGGGAGAGGGGAAGGGGAGATGAGGAGTGGCTGCTCATGGATATGGGGCTTCTTTTGGGGTGATGGCATGTTCTGGAATAAGATAGCAGTGATGGTTGCACAACTTTGTGAATACACTAAAAACTACTGAATTGTATGCTTTAAAAGGATGAATATTATGGCAGTGAATTATATCTCAATTTTTTTTAATGTATAAAGAAGACCAAGCATCACAGCTCATCTGTAGTCTGTGCTTTGGGAGGCCAAGGCAGTAGGATTATTTGAGGCCAGGAGTTCAAAAATCAGTCAGACCAACACAGACCCCACCTCTACAACAAATTTAAAAAATAGCTGGGCATGGTGGAGCATGCCTGTAGTCCCAGCTAGTCAGGAGGCCGAAGCGGGAGGACTTCTTGAGCCCAGGAGTGCAAGGCTGCAGTGAGCTATGATCGCACCACTGCACTCCAGCCTGGGCAACACAGCAAGATCCTATCTCTTAAAAAACATAAAAAGTAAAAAGAAGAGAGGGAAAGAGAGAAAAAGATGATGGAAGCCGAGACAAAGATAGTCATGGGGATGGATGAAGCAGGTTCTAGAACTTACCGAAAAAAAAAGGAATAGAGTGTGCCAACAGCTTAGATATAGAGTGTGAGAGAGAAGAGTGGAGGCTGGTTCTCAGGCTCCAGAAGCATAAGCCTGCATGGAGCATAGCGTCACTGAGCAAGACAGGTGTGGAGGATGAGAAGCGGGCCACAGGATGGGAAGGGAATCTGTGTGGAGGCGGTGCCCTAAACATGCTGCCTTGAGGAGGGACCTCTACATGGGGTGGCCGGGCACAGCCAGGTGAGTGGAACGAAGCCACAGTCAGGGGAATCCTCAGGCCGCCCTCCCGTCTGCTCCCCTGAGTGCTGGGCTCTGCAACTCCCTCCATCCCAGCTCGTTTCTTGCCTTCTTTACAGGGATGCTATCTCCTCTAGCAAGCACGCCTTCCCCACCTTCCCCACCCCAGGCTGGGCCCTGGGCTCATCTTTATCTTTGGGATGGCTACGTGGGATTGAAAGGAGTGCCTCCCAGTCTGTGTGCCCTGCTAGGACAGGGATCTATTTGGTTTTTGTTTGTTTGTTTGTTTTCAACTTCATAACCAGACCAAGTTCTGGTACATGGCAGGTATACGAGACATGGTTACTGAACTGGACTAACATTTTATTTAGAGTTGGTCCATTCTCTTAATTACCTATCTGACCCTCATTCTTAGGCTATGATGGCCAAAACCCCATGTGGCATTCCAGGTGTGGACCTGCCACAAGGCAGTTGTGTGCGGGAGAGATCGCAGCGTGGGGTTAACTGGGCTGCTTCCCAGTCTTGGTTCTGCCCTGAGCTCGTTGCTTCTCTTCAGCCGGGTGAACATAAATCTCTCTAGGACTTCGTTATAAAGTAAGGCCTGTGCCCTAGATGTCCCTGGAGACAGCGCCATCTGGTGGAACTTCCTGTAACGATCGAGATGTTCCGTCTGTGCCGTCCAACATGGGAGCCATGCAGGACACATGGTGACTGAGCACTGGGACTGTGTGCCGCGTGACCAAGAGCAGCTCAGCTCTAAAGTCTCCTCCAGCTTTATGATGTCACTTCCTGTATCTTCTCTACACATTCTTTCCTTCAGCCTGTTGTTTGTAAGTTTTTATGTAGGAAAGTAGAAAATTCAGAATATGTTTCATCAGGTTTTTGTTTGGCAAAGTGTCAACATGTTTATAACAGAGTTAAAGATAAAGGAAACCTTTTGGGTTATTTTGGAGAATTGAGGGCAAGACAAAAGGCTCCCTAACTGCAGGGAAAGGGGAGGCAAGTCATGAGCTCTGAGAAGGCCTGGCAGTGTCTGTGAACACATGAGATGTGCCTGTCACCCCAACTCTGCCAAGGCAGCGTGCAAACAGCCCCTGTTGCACCTCCACTTTCTGCCTGGAGGCCCGAGCAACCGAAGGCTGTCACATCAGCCCAGCTACTGGGAAATGCCAATTTGGAAGCCCAGGACTTACCGCCAAACCTACGGGCCAGTCCCCCGTACATGTAAAAGTACACCCACCCCAGCATGGACATGATATTTATAGGAGTGTTTCTCAACTGAGGGCAATTTTGCCCCCTGGGGACATTTGGTTGTCACAAATGAGGGAGGGGGTGCTAGTGGCATCTAGTGGGTGGAGGCCAGGGGTGCTGCTCAACCTCCCACAGCCCACAGGACAGCCCCCACAACGGAATTACCCAGCTGCCCCAAACCTCGGTAGTGCTGAGGTTGTGATACCCTGATTTATGGCAACATTCCCTCTGAAAACACAAAGCTCTATTACTTGGATCCCTGGAGCAGAAGTAACTTTTTAATAAACAAAATGGCTTATTTTCAGACAATTTCATCATCTGGTTCTCTTTATTAACTATGAATAAGGCCAGCAGTTCTTCTTGTTTCCTGTTATTTACATCATATACAATTTATTAATATCTCACTTAGGTAGAGTGCAAATGACATAGCCAATTAAGTGAAAAAAAGAATCATCACAACATTTTAAAAATTATATTGATCAATGGAAACACTCAATCTTATATGAGAGGCATATTTTTCTACTTTGTTCTTGCATAATTTCAACTTTCTTTTCCTACTTTCACAGGAAAAATATATATGCACATATTTGTATTCATTTTAAATGGGCTATACTTTGTAATTACCACTAGGCTGTAAAAATGCTAGTATTTATAAATGCAGTTAGATAATATTTACCAGACAATATCATCAAGTATTTAATATTTAGATTCAAGAGCTTCATACGTATTAATTAACTATGAGCGTCTTGCAAGGTAATATTTTCTAGTTTCATTGAGGGAAACCAAGGCGTAATAAGGGATAAGCGGTTCCCTCAAGGCTGTAAGAAGGAGCAAGTTCCAAATATTCCTATATTTCTATTTCTTGGGTCTGTGTATACAAACTAGCAAATAATTACTTTTTAGTTTTAATAGCTCAACTTTTTATTCACTGTTTTTTAAAACTGAGTTTCATTGAGGTATAATAACATATTAAAATTAAAAGATACAGTTTAATGAGTTATGACTATTGTTTTTAAACTTATTGTTTACAGCAAAATTTGTTAAATGTACAATAAAAATAGATTTCAGAGGCGCAGTTTGACTACACAGTATCTTAGTACATGGCAAAGACCACAGTTGTTCAGTAAGTCAATAAAATCTCAATAATTTTGTCACATTGGGAGAAAGTCCAGTGTGACTGAATAGGAAGAATTTTGAATTGAGAATGTCTGTAGTTTTATTATGAATTAGGAGTTAGGGTATCCTGCTAGGAAGTCACAGTACAACTGACTTTACTTTTGGATCTCGCTGTCTTCATCCGGACGGGGATGGAGACTGAAAGAGGATTAGACTAGAAGATCTCTCGGGTTCCTTGCAGCCCAAATGTGCTGTGGCTTCCAGTCCATGCTTTCAGAACAGTCACCCCGGCCACTCCCTCCTGGAATTCCTCCTCCCCGCCTCCCGTCCCTCCACACCCTCCTGCTTTCTCCTCCTCCTGCTGCTCTTCCTTGACCTCCTTCCCAGCCTCTTCTGAAATGTGGGAATTCCGCAGGCTTTACCCCGGCCCTCTGATCCTGGCACTGCCCACTCTTCATGGCGGTAGCAGCCCCCTGCCTGCTGGTAATGCCCAAGTCTGTGTCTCCGCCCCACCTTCCCCTCCCCCACTCCCGTGGCCCCCGGAAAACATCAGATGGCCTCAGGATATTTGTCCATGGGTGTCCAGAGGCACGTCCAAATCCCCACGCCCAGACAGACTCTTCTCCCTCCCACCCCACATACTGCTTCTCTCCCCGTTTTCCTTGTTTAGGTGAAAAGCACCAGCACTCATTTCAATCTCAGAATCACTCCCGGGGGTGTGTTCTTCCTGCCACACGGAATCTTTATGCTAGACATGAAACAACTAGGCTTAGGGAAGTGGAGGAGCATGTCTAAGCCACACAGCCCGCCAGGGGTGTCTGACTGCAAGGCTAGGGCCCTTGACCACTGCCCTACACCCCAGCATGTGCCCCAGCCGGGGACCCCGGGCGCTGTCCTCAATGCCTCCCCCTCACCACTCACCGCCGCCCCATTGCCAGGACCCGAGACTCACAGGGGTCTCAGGTCAGCTCCCCTGAGGACCTCTATCCCTGGCTCCGTTCACCCACCCTCATCCTCACCTGGATACATCCATCTCCTAACCAGTCTCCCGTCTTCCTCTCTTCAAGCCACACTTTTAAGTTGAGAAAAGGTGCTGTTCCTACAACACAGATCAAGCCACTCCCTTGCTTGAAACACTCCAGTGGCAGTCCACAGCTTCTGGGACAAGAGCCAGCCTGTCACTTGGCAGCAGCCTCTCCATCTTCGTCTCCAGCCTTACAGTCCGATCTCATTATTTCTAGATTCCATACCTGCAAATTCACCTCTTCACTAAAATGTGTTTGTAAACCAAATCAATACTTGTGGCTTCACAGTGATTCACAGACTTGTACAGAGCAGGGAAAAAATCTGAGTAGTCCAAGGCATCTGTTCCCGGCTGAGGTGAAGCAAGGTGACCCCTCTGCTTTCTTGTCCCAGCTCTCACACTAGAAACAAGTGGTCCTTCCTGCTGTCTATCCAGAGCCATGCTTTTGCATTTTTGTACTTTTGTTGGTGATTTTGCTGTTTAAAATGTCCCCAGGCACGGTGCTGAAGTGCTGTCTACTGTCTCTGAGTGCAGGAGGCTGCGATGTGCCTGTGGAGACAATACCTGTGCTGGATGAGGTGCCTTCAGCGTGAGTTGTAGTGCTGTTGGCAGTAAGTTCAGTGATACTGAATCAACAGCCAAATACATCGAGGCCATGGAAGAGGAAATTCACTTCTGCAGGCCCCTCTAGAAAGTGCTTCTATAGTAGGTTGTGAAACTACAGAAAAGAAGGGAAAGCAGCTAAATTTGTGGATTCGTGAGATGATGTCTGATACAGTTTGGATGTTTGTCCCATCCAAGTCTCATGTTGAAATGTGATCCCCAGTGTGGGAGATGGGGCCTGGTGGGCGGTGTTTGGGTTATGGAATCTGGTCCCTCATGAATGGCTTGGAGTCATCCTTGCAGTAATGAATGAGTTCTTGCTCTTCTGAGTTCCCATGAGAACTGATTGTTAAAAAGAGCCTGGCATCTCCTCCTCTCTCTCTTGCTTCCTCTCTCACCATGTGACTCGCCGGCTCCCCTGCGCCTTCTGCCATGAGCGGAAGCAGCCTGAACCCCTTAGCAGAAGCAGATGCTGGCACCATGCTTCCTGTACAGCCTGCAGAACCAAGAGCCAAATAAACGTTTCTTTATAAATTACCCAGCCTAGGTGTTCCTTTACAGCAATGCTTTTTTTTTTTTTTTTTCAAAAAGCGTGGTAGCAACATTGTTGTGAGTCTGAAAGCCAAAGAAGTTTACAGTCAGGAACATGTCAAGCCCTTCTCAGCTAGTGCTGACTGGCTCTCATGTTCCAGAAGGTGATACAATGTGAAAAAGGTTAA
Source organism: Homo sapiens (assembly GCF_000001405.40). Lineage (NCBI taxonomy): Eukaryota > Metazoa > Chordata > Mammalia > Primates > Hominidae > Homo > Homo sapiens. The sequence goes on from NC_000006.12 coordinate 5,034,906, forward strand.
ACCTGCAGGGCAGGCGAGGCGAGTTTTGCAGATCAGGAGGCTGTGGGAGAATTGTAAAAATACCCGCTGAGTGCTATACAAGAAAAGAGTTATGTGGAAGGGCAGGTTCTCAATGCTGATGAGACCTGCGTGTTCTACTAGGATGTTGATAAACAAACCTCTGTAACACAAATGGTGTTTCAGCTGATGAAAACGTTGTGACCAGACGCTCACAGAACCCAACCCATGCTTTCTCCAGGAGAAATAGCTCAGTATTTGCTAGTTCAGGGTTTGAAGAATGTTCGTAGAACATAACTACCTCGAATCACAAGAATTGGCTGTGCTTCCCACTACCCTTACCCTGGGGGGTCCAGTCCCATTGAACTCTCTGTAGTTGCCTGAAGATGCTTTTCCTGAGGTGCCCTCTCCTCTCCATCTAGTCACCCAGATCCATCCTTTAAGCCTCAGCCCCAGTGATGCCCAGGAAGTCTCTCTGGACCCTCCCCTAGGGCAGCTGAAAATCTTTTCTTCAGTGCCAGGTGACATGCCCTGCACACACCTCTGGCTCAGCGTGCATCGCAGCAGCGGGATCCGTCACACTCTCCTCCACCTCCCCCACCAGCTGCTTCAAGGCAAGGCTCTTTCTCCTTCCTTCCTTCCTTCCCTCCCTCCTTCCCCTCCCCTCCCCTCCTTTCCCTCCCTCCCCTCCCTTCCCCTCCTCCCCTCCCTCCCTCCCCTCCCCTCCCCTCCTTCCTTCCTTCCCTCCCTCCCTCCCCTCCCTTCCCCTCCTCCCCTCCCTCCCTCCCTCCCCTCCCCTCCCCTCTTTCCCTCCCTCCCTCCCCTCCCCTCCCCTCTTTCCCTCCCTCCCTCCCCTCCCCCCCTTCCCTTCCTTCCTTCCTTCCCCCCCCCACATATGTATGTATGTATATTAGTATATGTGTATGCATATAGACATATTTGGGGAGGTGGTGAAAAACAATACTTCAAGATATTTCTTATGTTGCACTTTTATTTCTAAATTAACCTACAGTATCATGCCTATTTAATTGATTTGATGTTGTGTTCTGGAATTTAGCACAGAGCCTGGCCCAAAGAAAGGACAATAAATATTTGCTGATAAAAAGCAAAAAGCTTAACAATTCTATTCATTTTACCTAACTGAAGTTCCTTGTGTCATGAATTTTTAATAAATAGTTTAAAATTAACATGTTAAGAGCATGTTCCCTTAAATATTTTAAGTAATTCCTCTGCCCCCTCTCTTTTTAATTTGAGCTATATCTATAATAAAATTTTGTTGAGCAAAATAAACTCCAGCTTAATCCAAATTGAATAATTAAAAATGTGGAAGAAGTGGTCTGAATTAATGAGTTTTCTCAGTGTAATTCCAGAATATTGAGCCAGAGGAGATCTTAATTTACACGTGTGTTAATTAGGCTCTTCCAGGTTAGCCTAGGAGATAGGAGGGAAAAAACAGAGAGCGCCTCAGCAGGCTGCTGAGGCCTGAAAGGAAGGTTATTCACAGGCAACCTGGGCGTGGTTTCAACAGCAGCTCTGAGATGCAACACCAGCTGCCTCCGCTGAGCTGGCATGTGCTGCTCCAGGAGCTGGGGCTGCTGTCATAGAGCCCTGGCCACCTCAGCCCCTGCTTGGCCATGGTTTGTCCTGACTCGTTACTTCTACCACTGCTTTCTCTGCCTGCCGTCTCCTTCTGTCCAGACTAGCGAGTGCTGATGGTCTCTACAGTTTCAAATTCAAATCCCTCTGCAAAGAAAGCATCCGATTGCTTCAGATAGTCACTCTCCTTCCTGCTGGACTGAGATCTTGCATCAATTTCTCTCCTGAGATAAAGGCCTCCCTCTAAATGAGCTTCCCTTCAGCCCAACATCTTCTCCTTGGGCCCGGACAGTGAGAAGACACAGTCCACTTTCTCAGGAGACCTGCGGGCACGGGATACGCTCAAGTTATACCACTGGGAGCTCCTTTCTGAGTCAACAGAAGCAGAAACTGATGCCTGAGAAGTTAGGAGGTCCTTCCTAGGAGGGTGCCCTTCAAAGTCCCCTGTTATCTAGGTCTCTGAAGCACATCACTGCCCCAGTATTGAGAAGTCTTGTCTCTTTAGCTTGTATTTTTTTTTTTTTTTTTTTATTGATCATTCTTGGGTGTTTCTCGCAGAGGGGGATTTGGCAGGGTCATAGGACAATAGTGGAGGGAAGGTCAGCAGATAAACAAGTGAACAAAGGTCTCTGGTTTTCCTAGGCAGAGGACCCTGCGGCCTTCCGCAGTGTTTGTGTCCCTGGGTACTTGAGATTAGGGAGTGGCGATGACTCTTAACGAGCATGCTGCCTTCAAGCATCTGTTTAACAAAGCACATCTTGCACCGCCCTTAATCCATTTAACCCTGAGTGGACACAGCACATGTTTCAGAGAGCACAGGGTTGGGGATAAGGTCACAGATCAACAGGATCCCAAGGCAGAAGAATTTTTCTTAGTACAGAACAAAATGAAAAGTCTCCCATGTCTACTTCTATCCACACAGACCCGGCAACCATCCGATTTCTCAATTTTTTCCCCACCCTTCCCGCCTTTCTATTCCACAAAACCGCCATTGTCATCATGGCCCATCCCCAATGAGCCGCTGGGCACACCTCCCAGACGGGGTCCTGGCCGGGCAGAGGGGCTCCTCACTTCCCAGTAGGGGCGGCCGGGCAGAGGCGCCCCTCACCTCCCGGACGGGGCGGCTGGCCGGGCGGGGGGCTGATCCCCCCACCTCCCTCCCGGACGGGGCGGCCGGCCGGGCAGGGGGCTGACCCCCCCACCTCCCTCCCGGACGGGGCGGCTGGCCGGGCAGAGGGGCTCCTCACTTCCCAGTAGGGGCGGCCGGGCAGAGGCGCCCCTCACCTCCCGGACGGGGCGGCTGGCCGGGCAGGGGGCTGACCCCCCCTCCCCCCTCCCGGACGGGGCGGCTGGCCGGGCAGAGGGGCTCCTCACTTCCCAGTAGGGGCGGCCGGGCAAAGGCGCCCCTCACCTCCCGGACGGGGCCGCTGGCCGGGCGGGGGGCTGACCGCCCCCCACCTCCCTCCCGGACGGGGTGGCTGCCGGGCGGAGACGCTCCTCACTTCCCAGACGGGGTGGCTGCCGGACGGAGGGGCTCCTCACTTCTCAGACGGGGCGGTTGCCAGGCAGAGGGTTTCCTCACTTCTCAGACGGGGCGGCCGGGCAGAGACGCTCCTCACCTCCCAGACAGGGTTGCGGCCCAGCAGAGGCGCTCCTCACATCCCAGACAGGGAGGCGGGGCAGAGGTGCTCCCCACATCTCAGACGATGGGCGGCCGGGCAGAGACGCTCCTCACTTCCTAGATGGGATGGCGGCTGGGAAGAGGCGCTCCTCACTTCCTAGATGGGATGGCGGCCGGGCAGAGATGCTCCTCACTTCCTAGATGGGATGGCGGCGGGGAAGAGGCGCTCCTCGCTTCCTAGATGGGATGGCGGCCGGGCAGAGACGCTCCTCACCTTCCAGACTGGGCAGCCAGGCAGAGAGGCTCCCCGTATCCCAGACGATGGGGGGCCAGGCAGAGACGCTCCCCACTTCCCAGACGGGGTGGCGGCTGGGCAGAGGCTGCAATCTCGGCACTTTGGGAGGCCAAGGCAGGCGGCTGGGAGGTGGAGGTTGTAGCGAGCCGAGATCACGCCACTGCACTCCAGCCTGGGCACCATTGAGCACCGAGTGAACGAGACTCCGTCCGCAATCCCGGCACCTCGGGAGGCCGAGGCTGGCGGATCACTGGCAGTTAGGAGCTGGAGACCAGCCCGGCCAACACAGCAAAACCCCGTCTCCACCAAAAAAAAACCGAAAACCAGTCAGGCGTGGCGGTGTGCGCAGGCACCCGGCAGGCTGAGGCAGGAGAATCAGGCAGGGAGGCTGCAGCGAGCCGAGATGGCAGCAGCACCGTCCAGCCTTGGCTCGGCATCAGAGGGAGACCGCGGAAGGAGACCGTGGAGGGAGAGAGAGGGAGAGGGAGAGGGAGAGGGAGAGGGAGAGGGAGAGGGAGAGCTTTAGCTTGTATTTTTAAAATGTTTGGGTTAATCCTGCAAAGTCTGGATGAACGGCCACACCTGGTTTATGGGTAGTTTACACATGTTTCTTTTATCAAAATTATTTATGGCTAAAATTTAAGGTTGCCTGATATCACTGGAACACTGAAATGTGGGCCCACAATACAGTATTTATTTTCATTTTTTTTTCATTAATCTAAATAAATGAGTTGTTGCTTTAAAAATAAATATGTAACACTATAAGAGAAACTGGTATGAAGCTTACCGGAAGCCACCATTACTTAAAAGCTATTAGTATTGTTTTGTCTTAGAATTTCAAAGCAAGGTAATATGTAACATGGCATTTACTCAATTAATATTTATTGAGAACCAACTATATTCCAGGCACTGTTTTAAGTGCTGGGAATACAATAGTGACCAAGACAAACATATTCCTGCTTTCATGAAAGTTAAATAGTATGTGTTCAATCAACCTGTTTCCCCATTTTTTAGAACAATGAAGAGCAGGGAAGGGGTGGAATGAGGGTCAAAAGTAAGTCCTAGAGTCCTGCCCCAAAGTTTTCCAATTACAATCTAAAGTAACAACCTTATGCCACCAAATTCGCAATTTGAACATTGAAAACGGCAATTACCTAACTAAGCAAGCTGTGAGTCCCTGCTTTCTGATATTTTGTAATCCTGCTATCATCTGTGAAACATCATAATTATAATAATAAAAATCGGAAACAGAGAAAGGGAGCATTCTGACATCCAATTAAAAATTAACACTAAATAAGTCAAACTCCCCACAGAGTTTTAGATATGAAAATTGAAAATCTGATCTAAAATTTAAATGAGGTGAAAAGGACCAAGAAAAGCCAAGACATTCTTAAGAAGAAAGAACTAAATAAAAGAAATTCACTTACAGATGTAAAGACTTAATATAAAGCTACAAGAATTAAAGGAGTAATGTTGAAACAAGAATAGAAAATAGACCAATAGAAAAGAACAGAGCCTAAAAACAGACCCACACACGTGTGGACACATATCTGTGACAAAGGAAATACTATAGATTAGTGATTAAAAATATATTTAAGAAATTAATCCTGATAGATCAATTAGATAGCCATATGCAAAAAGAAAATCTTAAAACATATCCTAAACTATCCACAAAAATCAATTTCAGAAGGAATGTAGCTTTAAACAGCCTGGGCAACATAGCGAGACCCCATCTCTACAAAAAATATTAAAAAATTAGCTGAGCATGGTGGCGCACGCCTGTAGTCCCAGCTACTTCGGAGGCTGGGTGGGAGGATTGCTTGAGCTCGAGAGGTTGAGGCGAGCTATGATCATGCCAGTGCACCCCAGCCTGGGTAACAGAGTGAGGCCCTATCTCTAACAATAGATAGATAGATAGATAGATAGATAGATAGATAGATACATACATACATACATACATACATACATACATACATACATAAAGAAATTTCTTTTAAAGAAAGAAGGCTGGGCATGGTGGCTCATGCCTGTAATCTCAGCATTTTGGGAGGCCCAAGTGGGAAGATTGCTTGAGCTCAGGAGTTCAAGACCAGCCTGGGCAACATAGGGAGACCTCATCTCTAAAAGAAAAAAAAAAGAAGAAATAAGATTTAGTGTTCCATAAATGAGTTGAGTGACTATAGAAAACAATAATCTATTGTATATTTCAAAACAGCTTCAACTTCGAGAATAATTTGAATGTTTTCAGCATAAAGAAAAGATAAATGTTTAAGGTGAGGATATCCCAATTACCCTGATTTGATTATTATACATTATATGAATGTACCAAAGTATCACATTACCCCCAAAATATGTACACCTACTACGTATCAGTAAAAACCTGACTATATAAAACCTAATTAATAGAAGGATTATCTTTACTGCTTCTCCATTTGACAATCCAATTTTGTCAAAATTTGGGGAAACAGAAAAAAAAAATGGTGCCTGATGGTGGATTACCGCAACTCTAATCTGTGGTTCCATGCATAAAGAGCCCCATATGCGAGACCAAAATTCAGACTTGACCATGTTCTTTGAATAGCTTCTTAAGAAGTTACAGTTAGCTGGGCATGGTGGTGGCCCGTGCCTGTAGTCCCAGCTAATTGAGAGGCTGAGGCAGGGATTCACTTGAACCCAGGAGGTGGAGGTTGCAGTGAGTGGAGATCACTCCACTGCACTCCAGCCTGGGTGACAGAGTGAGACTCGTCTCAAAAAAAAAAAAGTTACACCTAGGTGTGTATTTTGGCACAAAGGAGTGACAAACTTATAGTTAAAAGCTCAATAACTTCAGTGTGGTGTAAATGTGGTTTATAGGCTATGTTTGTGATTGCTAAAAATAATTCTAGTTTACCTCAAAATCCTTCTGTTTCCCAAAATTAAGTGCCTGGCCAGCTGTCATAAATTACATATTCCGTTTGGTTTTTTGTAAAGGTTACATGTTCAAGACTGTGAAAATAAGATGTTCTCTCTAAAGGCTACTATGCCTGGTCTGTAAATGAACCTGTTAAATGCTGTATTTGCTCCACCAGCTTACTATAGAATGTTACTTAATACAATATCATACTTATTACAGTTTTTACTATAGGAGTGTAATACGTAAAATTAATCTCTATTTTAATGGGCCCATGTTTCGTCTTTCACCATCCTTTAAACTGCTGTGAATTTTTTTGTCATGACTTGAAAGCAAGGATAGAGAAACACTTTAGAGATATCTGGGTTTTTTTCCCATTCCAGAACTTGTGAGTAAAATCATATTTGCTTGATATTTATAGTCATGAACTCCTAAGCTGGCAGCTACAACCAAGAACCAAAATATGGTGCATTCTGCTTCTTGTAATTCATCTCTGCTAATAAACTATAAGAAGCAAGGAAAATTAGGGAAAATATTTTATTTGGATGGTTTCTATAAACAAAGGACTATAATTCTTGTACATTATTTTTCATTTTTGCTGTTTCTTTGAGCAGTCTTATGTGCCACACAATGATTTAAGGTATTTGTTTTCTATAAGAATTGTTTTAAAAGTATTCTTGTTACCAGAGTAGTTGTATTATATTTCAAAATGGAAGATGATTTTTAAAAGCCTGAGTACTGATCTAAGATGCAATTGTATGAACTCTACTCTGGAGGGAGGGGAGGGTGTCCGTGGAAATTTTAAGACTTTTATTTTTGTGTGTCATCAAATATAGGTAAAAATAATTGCGCAATTCTGCTGTTTAAACAGGAACTATTGGCCTCCTTGGCCCTAAATGGAGGGGCTGATATTTCAAGTTGATTATTTTATTGTAAAATAATCCAACCTAATTTTTTTTAATTTGGTTGAATGTTTTTCTTGTTAAATGATGTTTAAAAAAATAAAAACTGGAAGTTCCTGGCAAAAAGAAAAGCCCCATATGCAATATTCAGTATTATTAAAATAATCGGCACCACCCAGTCAATGACTGGTATTTTATTATTACAGATTTGGCTGCTGTGTTCTGTTCATTGCCTCCTTCAACAACCTTTCAGCACAGTTTGCCTTCACCTCTAACGGGTCACAATTTACCTTTTCTAGGCTACCCATGGGGACCTCAACAGCTTTGCCATTGCACACTATCTTTGCAGACAAGATCTTAATCACATCCAACTTTCTGCAGTTGCACAGGGTACCTCAGACCCACATCCCAGATGACATTCCTCAGAAGCTCGCAGCTGGAGATGACATCACCTTAGACAACATCACCCTAGCCCAAGACATCGCTATTAGAGATACATCACCTGGACACTAAAGCCTCCAACCCAGTGACACTCTCAAGGTGCTGACAAAATGGACATGGACATTTGTTGCTTTTCTTCTTTTGAATTAGGAACTCTATTGTGTTTCCTGAATTTACTGTCTGCTTGGCCCATGATCCTGGTATGTTCCTTGCTCTCTGCCAAAACATGCACCGTCCCCTCCACACCTAAAGGAAAACCTGGTAGAAGCTACTACTCTCAATGCCATTCTAAAATTGACGAAGAGTATTATTTTCCCCAAGAGGCAGCTGCTGCAGGCCAGTGAATCCTCTGGACCCTGGGGAGAGGGTCATACACTCCCTAGTGACTTCTACTGTATGCTCCAGCTTTCCACCAGGACCTCCTGCCCTGTCCCCAACTGTAACGACCACAACCACCCCATCCCCTTGGTTACACACAAATATCACCAGTCTTTACATGTACTTTACTGACTTCTCAGATAATACCCTCCAACAAGATAACTGCAGGACTTGCCACCATGACCTGAGAAATACACCAAGATATTATTGTCCAATTTTTTTGAGATATATATATATTTCTCATACTTTTAACATACTCTGCAATCCACCAAGATATTGGTAGAGACCCTGGAAATTTCAAATCTATTTCGTCTGCTAATGCCATGTGAATGGGAAACTTAGATACAGGCTGGCCTACAAGGACTCCTTATACTTCAATTTTTGTTCCTCCTTTCAACTCTCATAAAAAATATTTTCTGTACTATTTAGGGCAAATGATGGCCTTCTTTCTAAGTCTCATCCATCATTGCTGCAAAGGTGCCTTAGTTTGATGTTAAAGTGTCACAGGGCCAATGTATTGACCATGTTTCTGGCGTCTATAAAGTCGATGTTTTAATATCTGTCCTACATGCATACACCAAACATTCCTTGATCTGGAAAACCCAACAGTATGCTTTGCTTCAGCCTCAGGCCTCCCTTGTCGCCTCCTCTGTGCCACCCCCCATTCCTCGGGAGTCCTCCTCCTCCCAGGGGCGCACTTTTCAAATACAAACCAACCAATCCAGAGCCCACACCCCAACCACCTCCTTTATTGGTCTCTCACATGCTGGGCCACTATCCACTTTCCCTAATCACCCAAAGTCAGGTACCAGACAATTAGGGACAGCCCCTATACCCCAGAGCCTGCTGAAATTAGCAAACTGGCCAATCCCGAGTCTGTTTACTTTGCCTTCCTGTTTCTTCCCAAGGAAATCACAAAAAAAGGCTCTTGTCCACAGCCCCCCTCTCGCTCTGCCTCCTGCTTCCCTGTGCGGCCCTGTGGTGTGGTGCACACCTTCCTCTTGGGAACTGTGTGAAACTATCTCCTAATCCTCTCCGTTGGCCTTAGTATACCTCAAATTTTTTGTATTGATACACTTTTTTTTGTGGGGTTTTTTTTGTTTGTTTGTTTTTTGTTTGTGAGACGGAGTTTCACTCTTGTCTCCCAGGCTGGAGTGCAGTGGTACGATCTTGGCTCACTGCAACCTCTGCCTCCTGGGTTCACCTGTGATTCTCCTGCCTCGGCCTCCCGAGTAGCTGGGATTACAGGCGCACACCACCACGCCTGGTTAATTTTTGTGTTTTTAGTAGAGATGGGGTTTCACCATGTTGGCCAGGCTGGTCTCGAACTCCTGACCTCAAGTGATCTGCCCGCCTCGGCCTCCCAAAGTGCTGGGATTACAGGCGGGAGCCACCATGCCCGGCTGACACACTGTTTTCTTTTAAACAGCTGGGAAACCTCTTATCCTCATCACCAGTGCCAGGGTCCAGCTTCAGGAGGGCAGGGCTCACCTGCTTTACTTCCAGATCACCATGTGCAGCGTGGAGCTTCCCTCTGACGTGTTTGTTGGATTTGTTTCAAAAAGGCGGCCATGGTTTCTTTTTTTCCTTCCTCGGCCCTGATTAATTTCAACAGAAGAAAATGTATCCCCTCTAGTTTGTGATGGAATCCAAGCTTAATTAGCCATTCATGGTGCTAAACTGTCCTGCACTGGATGACCCAATCGCTTCTGATTTTCCAAGCTTGGCTCTCAGACCATCCTGGTGGAAGAAACACTAGCAGTCTGCCCAATCTGAATGCAAATCCAGAATAATCTTTTCTTTTGTTGTTACACAGTTATGAGTGCAATTTTTAAATGGCTGCTACTCTACAGCCTGCCTGCCTTATGCTTTCTCCTGGGCACGCAGGAAAGTGAGAGCTTCCACTCCAAAGCAGAGATCCTAGTGACACTAAGTCAGGTAATAATCTCTCCAGCTGGACCTCATGCACTCACATGGACAACACACTTCTCTCCTTCAGTGATCATCATCCTTGTACCATGTTGGTGGCATGCTGTAATCGTGACTCAACATCCGGTTGCCAATTGCTATGTAACAAACCACCTCAACATTCAGTGGCTTGAATTGAAAGCAGGGTCTTGAAGAGATATTTGCACATTTCATCCTCCCAGCAGCATTATTCACAACAGCCAATAGGCAGAAGCAACCCAATGTCCAACCATAGATGAGTGGATAACCAAAATGTAGTCCATCCATACAATGAAATATGATTCAGCCTTAACAAGGAAGGAAGTCCCGCCACGTGCTACAACATGGATGGACCTTGAGGACACTATGCTAAGTGAAGTAAGCCAGGCACAAAAGGACAAATACTCTATGATTCCATTTTATAGGGTACCAAAGAGAATCAAACTCACAGAGATAGAAAGTAGACTGGGGTGGCCAGGGACTCGGGGAGAGAGGAAAGGGCAGTTATTGTTTAAAAGGTACAGAGTTTCAGTTTGGGAAGATGAAAATGTTCTGGAAACGGTTAATGGTGATTTTACATTGTTTATGTTACCACGATTTGTAAAAGAGCAGCTGCGCTGAGAATGAGCATGCTTGTCATTGGCAGCTCTCTGAGATTTTCAGTGCCTCTTACTGGCTTGTTAAGAAGACGGCAGATTCCTCTCCCCGTCTGCTTCTTTCATTATAAAATTCCCATTTCCATTTTGCCTCTAGGTAGAAGCTCACGGAACTCAAATGGGAAATGATGATGGCAGGATTTTCCTGCCGAAAAGAGGTGTCTCAAAAGAAAAACATATTGTATTTAACATGGAGAAATGAAATCCTCCAAAGCGAGCTTTATGAACTGAATTACCCAGAACGGACTTACCTCTATTGTCAGTATTTTTCTGCTGCCCCTTTGGGCTTCTGGTGCCTGGATAACTAAAAGAGCAGGACATCGTGCTGCTTAGTGGGCTTTGCAGTGGGAAGCGGGAACGTCTACCTGCATGAGCACGGGGCACTCTGCCCAGAGCTTGGGCACATTCCCCTAGGCACAGGAGTAAGGAAGAAGTCTCCAGTGTAGGTTAGGAAATAGGCCTTCAGCATGAGCTTACCACAGCTTTTTTAAGGAAAAAATTAGTGGCTTAAAATAATATTCCACTTTTTTTTTTTTGAGATGGAGTCTCACTCCGTTTCCCACGCTGCAGTGCAGTGGTGCAATCTCAGCTCACTGCAAGCTCTGCCTCCTGGGTTCACGCCATTCTCCTGCCTCAGCCTCCCGAGTAGCTGGGACTACAGGTGCCCGCCACCACACCCGGCTAATTTTTTGTATTTTTAGTAGAGACGGGGTTTCACCGTGTTAGCCAGGATGATCTCGATCTCCTGACCTCGTGATCCACCCGCCTCGGCCTCCCAAAGTGCTGGGATTACAGATATTCCACTATTTTTTATCATAATTGTGTGGACTGACTGGATTCAGCTGGGTGATTTGCACTCGGAGTCTCTCGCGTGGCTGCCGTCTTCTGAAGGCTGGACGTCCCACATGGCTTCTTTACTAATACATCTGGTGCTTCAGCTGGGACAGCTGGGACAGCTGGCGGCTGCACAGGCATCTCGCTCTTTGCACACAGGCTCCCCATATGCTTAGTTTGAGCTTGGTGATTTTAAAGTAGTTGAACTTAGATGGCAGCTGGCTTCCCTCAGAGTAAATATGCCAAGATACCCAGGTGGAAGCTGTAAGGTTTCTAATGACCTAGTCTGAGATTTCACACCAAGATGGCTTCCGTCATATTCTGTTGGTCAAAAATAAGCCACACGGTGGGGCATGGTAGCACACACCTGTAACGCCAACACTTTGGGAGGCCAAGAAGGGTGGATCGCTTGAGCCCAGGAGTTCGAGACCAGCCCGGGCAACATGGTGAAACCCCGTCTCTACAAAAGAATACAAAAATTAGCTGGGCATGTTGGCACACCTCTGTGGTCTCAGCTACTTGGGAGGCTGCGGTGGGAGAATCTCCTGAGCCCAGGGAAGTTGAGGTTTCAGTAAGCCATGATCATGCCACTGCACTCCAGTCTGGGTGACAGACTGAGACCCTATCTCAAAAAAAATAAAAGCTACAGGTCAACCCAGATTCAAGGGGATAGGATTACACAAAGTCACAGATTCAGGAAGGTATAATTTATTGGGGAACCGTCTTTGGAGACTAGCTACCACAATCTGTCACCATCTTTTAGATAAGACGATCAACATATTTCTGAGTATACTTTAGATTTCCACTATCAGTGCATTTTCTGAAACTTCCCCAGTCTTAGCACTGAAGGTCCTGCACCCCAGGAAATATCTATCAGTCTTTGTCAAACCAGGATGGTTGGTCACCCTACTTTTAGACCTCCTCATTTTCATGAACTCAATATTGCATAAGGTTGATCTTCCAAAAACATGTATCTGCCTTAAAATTGTGATTTCCATCCTGATGAGGTCTCCTCATATTCCTTTGTCTTTCTGGTTTGTATAGGATCCACTTGACTTCAGAGCTGTAGAAATCCAATAATATGGCAGTGATGATGCATTCTTTTATTGGCCCACAGTTATTATTTTAATCCAAGATACAGCTGAACACCATATCTTAGATCTAAACTCTCATACAATAAGCCTTAAAATGTAACTAATATAAATCTGGGAGTTCATATGACCCTGCCTTGGTGGGAGTGACATATTCAAAAAACCAACAATTTGACAAAAAATATAACCTAAAAACAATTCAAGTTGTATTTGGACTGTGAACACCAATACGGTATTAGTGTTAATACATACATGCTTGTTACCTTATTACAATAGCATAAAATATCACAAAGTAGAAAGAGTTCTGGGTAGACAGGAGTCCTGCTGAGTAGCTCTGTGCCCTGGGTGGGGGTTATGAGGAAGGGTTCCCAGGTCTGCTTCCTCCACCCTGAGGTCACCATTAAAGTTGGAAGATGACTTAAAAATCAGACAGCATCAATCCCCTTCAATAGTTTTCTATGGTGTATGTGTTCATTAAATTCTGGGTCATTGAACGGTCATGGATAACCTTAATCTCTCTTAGCCTCAATGTCTACTAACATAGTTCATATTCTGTTAAAGTTATGAGCATTCGTATTCTAAGATTTGTATTGAATATAGATGATAGATTAAAATTTTAGTGACAAATCTTGATGATTCTGTAGGAACTTTTCCATGTGATAAATCTTCTTTTCATGCTATCTTGGCTTCAGCAGAATGGCAACATTACATTTAAAGACAGGCTTTGACACTTTGTGGTGTGTGTGTGTGTGTGTGTGTGTGTGTGTGTGTGTGTGTGTGTTTGGAGGCTCCCTCTCTGTTGCCCAGGCTGGATTGCAGTGACGTGATCATATTCACTGAAACCTCCAATTCCTGGGCTCAAGTGAGCCTCCCACCTCAGCCTTCCAAGTAGCTGGGACTACTGGCGCATGACACCATGCCCACATCATTTTCTTATTTTTTGTAGAAACAGGGTTGGTTGCCCAGGCTGGTCTTGAACTATGTTGCTCAGGCTGCTCTTGAACTACGTTGCCCAGGCTGGTCTTGAACTCAAGTGATCCTACCAAAGAGCTGGGATTACAGGTGTGAGTCAACATGCCCAGCCCTTGTGTTTCCATTAATGCATTCTATGCTGTCCATCACAGATCCCTACTTCACCTCATCACTTTTTGCTTCAGAGCCCCATGTGTACAATGATTCATGGAGGCATATAGCAGCTCACAGGAGGGTAGGTGTAGCCAAGTAGTATGTACCTAAAGTGAGGAGAGCAATTGCATAAAGAAACGTAAATAATGGTTTGAATGGGGCAATGGGAAGGGAAAGAAAGCCAATTGTTCCTCTGAGCTTGTGGGACTTGGAAATAAATGTGGAAGAATTAGCAGGACTTGTTCCAGAGGGCTGCAAGGGAGTCAGTGCACTCAGGGAGAGCCAGAAGATAGAGTAGACTTTTAGGGAGGAAGTTGGGATAAACCTTGGGAACAAAGAGGGCTTTAATTACAGTGTAAGAAAGATTTGGGAGGAGTCACTGCAGAGGAAGATTGGGAAAGGGGATGGCAGTGGAAGGACAAGCAGAATGAGGTAGTAAAGGTCTCATGGGCATGACCGCTGTGAGACAGACCTGGTATTGGTCAGGACCACCTTCACTTCCATCCCTGGTCCCAAGAGCAGCTATGCTACTGGAGTGAGAAGCTGCATCCTCTTCTCCAGAGATAACATAGAGCCCCCTACCACCACCCAAATTGAGAGCTGAGGATGGGCGGATGGGCTCTCCATTGGACTCTGAAGGCACTGCCAAATTAATATCCTATCCTCAGATGACCCAACTACTGGGAGCACAAGCTTCTTCTCTAGGTCAACTAATAGTCATGACATACTGTCCTTGAGTCTTCCCTGCATCCTGCCACCCCCAGGAAACCATGCCATGACAAAAGAGCACAGTACTAGTTGAGGTCATAGATATTAGAATTAGTAGGACCTGACATTTGGCAGTTAAGGAACCCTTAATAGGTAAGTTATTCATTGTTTTAACCCTCAGTTTCCTCATCTGTAACATAATAACAGCTCATTATAACAGTACATAGCCTCCTTGAGTGAGAAACTAAATTGAATTCCTTCTCCTGGTTTGGTTTGGGCAGTGTCATTTTTTTTTTTTTTGGAGACAGAGTCTTGCTTTGTCACCCAGACTGGAGTGCATTGGTGCAATCTTGGCTCACTGCAACCTCCACCTCCCGGGTTCAAACGATTCTCCTGTCTCAGCCTCCCCAGTAGTTGGGATTATAGGCGTGCACCACCATCCCTGGCTAATTTTTGTATTTTTAGTAGAGACGGGGTTTCATCATGTTGGCCAGGTTGGTCTTGAACTCCTGACCTCGTGAGCTGCCTGCCTCGGCCTCTTGAAGTGCTGGGATTACAGGCATAAGCCACCATGCCCGGCCTGGGCAGTGTCATTCTTCTAGAATATGAAGGCATTGGCTTTTCAGCCATAGACATCCAAATCCTGCACTAAGAAGCACTCTGATGTTCGACATTCAAGAAGATGGCAGCGTAGAAGCATCAGGAATCCATTTCCCCATTTGGACAACAATTGCACTGGCAGGATCTCTCAAATGTAACTATTTTGGAACTTTGGTGTCTACTGAAGGCTTGCAACATCCAGGGGAAGACTTGGGTGGTAAATTGTGGTTGATTTTGGCTAATTTTAGCTCTTAGCTCAGTAGCAGCTGTCACCCACCAGCCAGGCAAACAGCTATGCATGTGTGCCTGAGGCAGCTTGCAAAAAGCTTGAAGGAGCCAAGGTGGGTGTAAGGACCCTATCCTCCAAATAATGGGGATCTTTGCTGTGATTGCTAATTGCTGCTTCTGGTTATGGAGGTGTAGACACGGAGGTGAGCAGCATTGCTGCAACCATCATTTGCACTTTTACAATCCTCATCTCTTTGGCTGAAGCAACTTCCAGGGGAATTAAAGGGCCAGCACCTGTTTTTGGAGCCTGCTCTTTTTTTTCTTCTTTATTTTTCCTTTATTACCCTTTTGGAATAAAATATTTAAGAACTAGGACATCAACAACAACAACATATACAGAGGCATTTGGAAAGTCATCACACAAGCCTAGGGAAAGGTGCAGGCTCAAAAAAAGATCTGAGAAGACCTTAAGTTTACAGTTAAGGCTGAACTTTGGCAGACAGACACCCTACCAAGGCAGAGAGTTACAGAGTTACATATTATAAGATTCCAATGTCCAGTTTTCAGCAAAAAAATCACAAAGCATACAAACAGAAAAGTATAACAGATTTTTAAAAATCAATGGAAACCATCTGTGAGAAAGACTAGATGGTAGACTTACTAAACAAAGAGTTTAAAACAATTATCTTAAAGATGCTCAAAGAGCTTGAAGATGTAGACAAAAGTCAAGAAAACGTATGAACAAAATGGAAATATCAATAAAGAGACAGAAAACACAAAAAGGAACTAAAGGAGCTAAAAAGTACAATAACAAATGAAATTTTCACTAGAGGACTCAAAAACAGATTTGAACAGGCAAAAGAAAGAATAAGTGAACATGAAGATAGAACAATTGAATTCTTGACTCTGAGGACTTGAAGGCCAAAAAGATTACAGAAAAGTGACCAGAGCCTTAGGAACCTCTGGCACATCATGAAGTAAACCAACATATACATTGTTGAGGTTCCAGAAGGAGAAGACAAAGAAAAAGGGGCAAAGAGATTATTTGAATAAATAGTGGTTAAAAACTTCCAAAATATGATAAAGACATGAACATAAATATGAACATGAACATAAATTCAAGAAGCTCAATGATCTCAAAAGACCCACACCAAGACACATTATACTCAAACTGTCAAGACAAAGGAAGAATCTTGAAAGCAACAAGAAAGAAATGACTCATCCCATACACCGAATCCCTGGGAAGGTAAGCAGATTTCTCATCAGAAACCTTGGAGAGGCCAGAAGGCAGTGAGTTGATACATTCAGAGTGCTGAGGCAGGAAAAAACAAACAAAACAAAACAAAAGTGTTGACCAAGAATGTTATATCCAGCAAAACTATCCTTTAAAAATGAGGAAGAAATTAAGACATTCCCAGATAAACAAAAGCTGAGGGAGTTTGTTACCACTAGACCTGCTGTCTTAGTCTGTTGTGTGTTGCTATAAAGAATGCCTGTTGCTAGGTAATTTTTTTTAATGAAAAAAGAAGTTTATTTGGCTTAGGATTCTCATGTCTGGAAAAGTTCAAGATTGGGCATCTAACAAAGGCATCAGGCTGCTTCCACTCATGGCAGAAGGTGAAGGGGAGCCGGGAAGTGCAGAGATCACATGGTGAGAGAGGAAGCAAGAGAGGTAGCAGGGAGATACCAGGCTCTTTTTAACAACCAACTCTCATGGGAGCTAATAGACTGAGAACTCACCCTCCCTGTGACTGTGTGGGTATTAATCTATTCATGAAGTGTCTGCCTCCATAACCCAAACACTTCCCATTAGGCCTCACTTCCCAGCACCACCACACCAGGGATTGAATTTCAACAAGAGGTTTGGAGGAGTCAAACATCCAAACTGTAGCACCTGCCTTGCAAGAAGGGAGTTCTTTAGGTTGAAATGAAAGGGCACTAAACAGTAACTCAAAGCTATATGAAAAATAAAGATCTCTGGCAAAAGTAAATATATAAACAATTATAAAATAGTATTATTGCAACTTTGATTTGTTACTTCCACTTTTTATTTTCTACATGATTCAAGAGAGTAATGTATTTAAAAACTTATTAGTTTATATTTCAGGTGACACAATGCACAAAGATGTCATTTTGTGATATCAATAGCTGAAAGGGGGTAGGAGCAGAGCTGCATAGAAGCAGAATATTTGTATGCTCTTGAAGTTAAGCTGGTATAAATTCAAACTACAGTGTATGCCTTTTTTTTGTTTTTTGTTTTGTAGAGATAGCATCTCACTATGTTGCCCAGGCTGTTCTCAAACTCCTGGCCTCAAGTGATTGTCCTGCCTTGGCCTCCCAAAGTGCTACAATTACAGGCAGGTGTAAGCCATCATGTCTGGCCCAGTGTATAACTTCAGGAAGGTAGTTTTAAAGATGAAAAATATTCTAGAGATGGATGGTGGTGACAGTTACATAATAATGCGAATGTACATAATGCCACTGAACTGTACACTGAAAATGGTTATATAATAGTTAATTTTATGTTATGCATATTTACAATCTTGAAAAATAATTTTTAAAAAATTAAAGAAGAGGCAGCTTATGCTGTCTAAGGAGCCCCTTTTTCTACCTGCACTCTCTATGCTTCACTCCTACTCACTTCACTTTTGAGGAGGAGCATGTACACTCATTTTTGAACTTGCTCTCATTAACTGATTCTTCTTTCTAAAGGATAATGCTTTTTCTTTCTCTCACTTTTGGTTATTACTAGTGAAGACCAGTTACTGTCTCTTATATTATGGAGCCATGCAAACTAAAAAACATATTATGATTATGTATAATAGAAAGAAAGGCAAGATATTTTTACTTCCCTTGGTGCTATGTAGTACTTGTTGTTTTGGATATGAAATGGTTAAGCAGTCATCCCCTTGGAAGCTCTGCAGAAAGTGGGGATGGGGGATTTTTTTAGATGATTTTAAACAGGAAATGCCATGATGATCTGTTTCCACCAGAATGGGTTTTTATGTTCAGCTCTTACTCTAAATCAGGAAGTTCTTGTTCCTGCCAGAAAGTGAGACAGATAAACCCTTTCCTCTACTGCAGCCCACTAACAGTTCCACAGAGCACAGGATCCAGAAAATGGAAATGGCTGGGTATAGGGTAAAGTATCTGACCCTACCTCAGGGCCATGAATATGGGGCTGGGGAGCAAGGAGAGAAGACAGGGATAGAGAAGCAGAGGGAGGAACATGGGAGCAGAAGAGGGAGAGATGGAAAGAGAAAGAAAACTGGTGAGGTGGCTTGCACTCGTAGTTCCAGCTACTTGGGAGGCTGAGGCAGGAGGATCACTTGAGCCCCAGAAGTTTGAGGCTGCAGCGAGCTATAATCCTGCCATTGCACTCCAGCCTGGGTGACAGAATGAAATCCTGTCTCTTGCAAAAAAAAAAAGAAAGAAAGAAAGAAAGAAAAGAAATTGGACATTAAAACCAGAATCCCTAGGAAATTATTTCTAGTATTTTTGTATTGTTTCCAAGTTAACTGTACAGACAATTGTAAGTAATAGGTCTGTATGGAGGAATCTCAGCCAGTTTCAAAGACTCTCTTTGTTGCCTTCATGAAGTCCCAAGGTAAGTAACCTATCAAGCATATATACATTCACTGGGTGCCTTCTGCCTATTACAGTAAAAAAAGCTAGAACTCATTCTGCCCCAAAACAGGTAAAGAGGCTCCCAGAATGTATTTTAATTGAACTTAAGATAGTCTGGTTATTCTACAAATTCTGAGAGTAACACCTGTGCTCTTGCTGACTCACCACCAGCAGAAAATGATTAAGATGGCTATTTACAGGGTACACAATGTTTTCTAGCTTAATTAGCCTCTTACCTTCATCCAGGAACTAACGCCAGATGCCTCTGTCCTCATGGCAGTCACCTGGCCATGACCAGAATCCCAGTTTGAGTGTCTCTGCAGGGAGGAAGAAAAGGGGTGGGAAAGGAAGGAAAGACATCACTATTTATCAAATGAATGCCTTGTCCCTGGCACTGTGCTTCCACATATGTTCCTGATTAATTGTCCCAACAACTCTGAGAGGTCGGTGTTAGTATGTTCAGTTTCCAGATGTGGAAACAGAGGCTTAAGGACTTGGAGTAATTTACTCAAGATCCCAGAGTCAGGAGAGAGGGAAGCCAAAATTGCAACTGTCCTGCTCCAGTGTGCATGGTCTTTTCATGGGAGGTTTGTGCAAACAACACCAAATCCTAAGCCTTTACTCTCAGCTTCCAATCATGCAGAGTATTTCCTGACAAATTCCTGGTAACAGCATTATTCTACAGCATGCCCCGGGAGTCTTGGGAGTCATACTTGGTTACGAGAAGTGCAAAACAAAAATAAAACTCTAAGCGCCCCCAACCAACTGAATGGATCCCTCTCTTGGCCAAGAAGGATTCCAAAAAATACCTGAAAAACCACATCAGCCCATGATGGGAAGGAGGAGTCAGACTTACCTCCTTCTACTGTCTTCCCTTTGGAGTTTAGACGTGACTGACCAACATTAACATTGACTCAGAGACCTTAAGACTGAAAAAACAGACTCTTTGTAGCAATAACATACCACATTCCAACCTGACTCTGGTATGGAATCACATGACGGATATCAGGCCCTGAAAGAAATGGCAGTATTTTATCCCAAAATATATTCCCTTGACATATTTTGAAATGACCCTGAAAACCTGTCTCTTGTGGGGGAAATTTGCTTTCTATAGAGAATCTTCTTCCCTTATTAGGCCTTTTCTGGAGAGTCTGACACCTTTTAGGGTCAGACAAGAGACATTCACTGCTTATTCTCTCTGAAACCTGCTATTTGGAGGCTTCATCTACATGACAAGAACCTTGGCTTAAGCTCCAGCTTAACTCTTTCAACCAATTGCCAGTCAGGAAATCTTTGAATCCACCTATGACCTCGAAGACCCTGCTTCGAGAAGTCCTGCCTTTCTGGGTTGACCCAATGTATACCTTACATGTATTCATTTATGTATTTCCCTGGTAACTTCTGTCTCCCTAGAAGGTATAAAACCAAGCTGTAACCCAGCCACCTTGGGCACATGTTCTCAGGACCTCCTGAGGCTGTGTCACTGGCCATGGTCCTTAACCTTGGCAAAATAAACCTCTAAATTAATTGAGATAAGTCTCAAATACGTTCTGGTTTACAGAAGAAAAGTAGAAATGGGAGTAAGAGTAGGCCAAAGAAGAGAAGAATGGACACGGTTTCACCCTGATGAAGTCACTGTGCCTAGTAATATCTCAGACCTGTGATTATTACATTGCCTGGCCAAATAGGACACGTTCCTCAAGATTAGGCTCAAATGCTACCTAATATCTGTCCCACTTCATACTCCCCACCCTGGAATCCTCTTGGCTCAGTTAAAAGTGTTTCACGTTCTTGACTGGTATCTCCAGACTGAATATACCTTCACTCTACCCTCCACCCCTAAACCACTCAGGTCCAGAGATAGTTTCTAAGTGGGAGAAAGGATCCTTAGCTAAGACATCTCTGGTCCCCATGCCAGAATCTACTCAGAGGGTCAGTTTGTGGCTTCCCTTCAGTGGGGCTTGAGAGACAGGGCCAAAGGGACTCACCAACATAACCTTGAAACAGTTAAAAACCACGTGCACCCTGCCAGATAGACCTACTAGAATCTCAGGCCAGTGGTTATTCAAGTTTTTGGTCTTTGGATCTCCTTCCTTCTTTCCTTCCTTCCCTCTTTCTTTTCTTTTCTTTCTTTCTCTCTCTTTCTTTCATCTCTCTTTCTCTTTCTTTTTATTATTAGAGACAGGGTCTTGCTATGTTGCCCAGGCTGAAATGCAGTGGCTATTCAACAAGTGCCATCTTAGCCTCCTGAGCACAAGCAATCCTCCCACCCACTTAGTCTCTTGAGTAGCTGGGACTACAGACACATGCCACCGTGCCTGCCTGGCTTTTTTGCAAATCTTTTTAATGATTGGCTTTTTAAAAAACAGTTGGATCCTCATATCTACTTCTGCATTCAACCAGTTGTGATATGTTTTCTGCTTGAAGGATATGAAGAAAATCCAGCCTCGGATAGATAAATAGTTGGAAAAGGAAAGAGTGTCTTTAATGGCCTTTTCAGAAGACTGTAGACATTCTTCTTTGATATGACACCAAGACTAAACTGGATGTCATTTCTTTAAGGTAGTTGCAATATGGAATCTGAAACCTTATTGTCAAACTGTCCACACTATGTTACATTACAGTCAGTTTATCTTGCACTTTAAGCGGATCTTTTACCTATGCATAGTCTTGTAACATTTTGCATTGATCATTTGGAAAATATGGTTCACTGAAAAATGCAGGTCTTCCAAATGTTGGCAGCTTTTCTTATCCAATAGCAACAATCACATTTGTTTCAATGCTGATCTCATCATAAAAGTCTTTAAATACCAGGTAGCTGTCAAGCTCATGGTACATACAAGTATTTCAAAATTATCATTTTTCCTTCAAAGTTCAGATTTTAACCTTAGCAATGCATTATTTCAGTTGTTTTCACTGCACTTCATTGAAGTCAGAGGTTCACATGGGTTATTTTCAAGAAAATGTCTACCAGATGCCCAAGTCTGAATATTTATAGTTTATCCATTGTTCAAGTAAAAAATAATGTTTCACTATAAAAGCAGCCAGTTCAACTCAAAACTCAATCATCCTAGAGCTTTTCCTCAAAGCAACGTCATACATTGGTAGTAGAAGTGACAAAATACTTCCTATTTTGTCACTGAATGTTGAAAAGACATGTACTCAAGAGTTGAGAGTTAATAAAATTAATTATTTTTATTGGTTTATCTAGGATATTTTTAAGTGATACGGGTAGGGCTTTATCCATCATTGCTTTTGCGGTATCAGTGCAAGTGTCCACAAAGTTAAAAAGGCAAATCATGTCTTAGCATTGTTATGAAAATAGTTTCAACCTCTCAACCCAACCCCCCTTTCCCCAAAGGCTCTAGGAGACCTGGGGGCCCACGAGCCACACCCTGAGGTCTGCTCTCCTAGCCTGCTGTCATTGCTAAAGCCTGCACGGGCTTCGACCTGAAGGGGGAGCTCAAGGCCTTCCCAATCTTCTTCCTTCCCTCTCCTCCCTGCCCACCCTTTCCCTCAACTTTGGGACAAAAGAGACCAGGACGGAAGACACCAAGGGACTCTAGCTTTGGAGTTCAAACTTCCCTCATTCCGGCTGGGCGTGGTGGCCCACGCCTGTAATCCCAGCACTTTAGAAGGCCAAGGCAGGCAGATTACTTGAGGTCAGGAGTTCGAGACCAGCCTGGCCAAGATGGTGAAACCCCCATCTCTACTAAAAATTCAAAAAATTAGCCAGGTATGATGGCGCCTGTAATCCCAGCTACTCGGGAGGCTGAGGCAGGGGAATCGCTTGAACCTGGGAGGCGGAGGTTGTAGTGACCCGAGATCGCACCACAGCACTCTAGCCTGGGCGACAGAGCGAGACTCCATCTAAAAAAAAAAAGAAAAAAAAAAACTTCCCTCATTCCTAGTGAAACGCTCACTTTTTTTTTTCTTAAAGAGACAGGGTCTCTCTCTGTCACCCAGGCGGAGTGCAGTGGTGCAATCATAGCTCACTGCAGCCTCGAACTCCTGGGCTCAAGCAATCCTCCCACCTCAGCCTCCTGAGTAGCTGGGTGCACCACCACATGTCCAGCTAATTCTTATTTTTTGTAGAGATGGGGTCACTTTATGTTGCCCAGGCTGGTCTCGAAATTCCAGACTCAAACAGTCCTCCTGCCTCGGCCTCCCAAAGTGCTGGAATTACAGGCATGAGCCACCACACCCTGCCTCTATTCAGTTATTTATATGGCCCATTCCTCCACATTAGGTTCCAAATACAACAACATCTCCTTCATTCCATTTTCCCGAGACCCAGTGTCTCCTTCTTCGGGTTCCACCTTATGAAGAGTCTACACGGGGCTCTCTGTGACTGGAGAGAGGAGAGGACCTGAGTTCCATGAAACCATGGGAGCCACTGCTTCTTTTTGTCACATGGGGTCATTAATGAAACCAAGCCTTGCACAGTGTGACAGCAGATGTCTGTTCAGAGCTGCTGGCCTTCCCTGAGTGCTGCCTGCTTTCTCAACGGCCTGTCCCAAGCCTGCTTTCTCATGTCCGTGGGAACAGGTGTTCTAAGGTCCGGGGCTTAACATCCACTTCCACACCAGCCATCGTTCTCCAAACCACAGCCACAGGGCCACAGAGAGTTGACCTGGGGGAGCTTCTGCACCCGCCACACAGTGGTTCCCCGCTTCAGCCTGGATTCTCTCTGTCCTCCTTTTCTGCCTCTGAGCCTCCGCCAGCTCCATGTGACTCAGCTTCAGGCATCCCTCGGGGGGAACCCATGGGCACCCAGTGTCCAACCTACCCCCTCCTCAGAGGACTCTTGGCTGTGTCTGCCTCCCCTTGCTATGTTTTGCCTTCTGCCTTCTTTATTCCCCTGTTATTTTTCCTGTTTTAGCCATGCTTGATTCGGTTTTACAGCCCTGTGTCTCCCCACTATTTTTATATATATATAATGCTTGAATGCTTGCTGCTTTGTTTTCCATTTTCTCTTTCTAGTTTAATGTTCTTTATATTCCTTTAAGGTAAAAATGTCTTGCTTCCAACTTGTTTTCCCTGATTTATCATTAACTGCTTTTAATTGAAAAAGTAATAAAAGCACATGACGAAAATGGAAAGAGATGAAAAGCATACACAATGAAAAGCAAGCAAGACCTCTGCTCTCCTAATCTCTGTCTCCAGAGGTGACACTGCTACTGGCTTCTTGTGTTTCCTTTTAGAAGTCCTCTATATGGCCAGGCATGGTGGCTCATGTCTGTAATCCTAGCACTTTGGGAGGCTGAGGCCGGAGGATCCCTTGAGCCCCGGAGTTCAAGACTAGCATGGGCAATATTGAGAGACCCAGTCTGTACAGAAAATTAAAAAATTAACCAGGTGTGGTGGCACACACATGTAGTCTTAGCTACCCGGGAGGCTGAGGTGGGAGGATCCCTTGAGGCCAGAAGTTCAAAGCCACAGTGAGCTATGACGGTGGCACAGCATTCCGGCCCGTGCAACAGAGCAGCGCCCTGTCTCAAAAAAAAAAAAAAAAAAAAGTCCTCTGTGTACATAAGAAGCACACTCCTCCCCTTTTATTGCACTAATAAAAACTTGGTATTCACACAGTTCTGGGCCTCTCTGATTTTTTCTTAACTCTGTATCTTGGGGATTGTTTCATATCCGCCCAAGAACAGCTACTCGACTCCCTTCCCTGAGTTTCCATTAACTGAATTCTTGTCGCAGGAAGAGGACTGTGGTCTGTCAACACACCTGGACATGCCTGCTCTGCGGCCCCATCAGACTTTGTCCCCAGGCCATTGTATGCTCTTCAAGTTCATTGAATCATCCTAAAAATCCTTTCCTACCACCTAACATCATCCACATTTCCTCATCTCCCTTTCCCTAAAAAGAAGGGTATTTAACCATCTGTACCCCATTGCATGGTGGGAGAATCACATGCTAATAAATTTATATGACTCTTCTCCTGTTAATCTGCCTTTTTTTTTTTTTTAAGAGACAGGGGTCTTGCTCTGTTGCCCAGGCTGGAGTAGAGTGGTGTAAGCATAGCTCATTGCAGCCTTGAACTCCTGGGCTCAAGTGATCCTCCCGCCTCAGTCTTTTGAGTAGCTGGGACTATAGGCATGAGACATGACACCTGGCTTTAATCTATCTTTTGTCAGTTGATTTTCAGCCAGC